>NC_000012.12:41854067-42005582 GCF_000001405.40 Homo sapiens
TTGGGGTTTTTGTTTTGTTTTGTTTTGTTTGTTAAAGCAAGATAAAATTTTTTCTATCCATTTTAAAATATTTTGAACAACCAGTGGGGAAAGGATTCCCTATTTAATAAATTGTATTGAGAAAACTGGCTAGCCATATACAGAAAACTGAAACTGGACCCCTTCCTCACACCTTATACAAAAATTAATTCAAAATGGGTTAAAGATTTAAATGGAAGACTTAAAACCATAAAAACCCTGGAAGAAAACCTAGGCAATACCATTCAGGATATAGGCATGGGCAAACACTTCATGACTAAAACACCAAAAGCAATTTCAACAAAAGCCAAAATTGACAAATGGGATCTAATTAAACTAAAGAGCTTCTACATAGCAAAAGAAACTATCATCAGAGTGAAAAGGCAACCTACAGAATGGGAGAAAATTTTTGCAAGCTATACATCTGACAAAGGGCTAATATCCAGAACCTACAAGGAACTTAAACACATTTGCAAGAAAAAAAAACAAACAACCCCATCAAAAGGTGGGCAAAGGATATGAACAGACGCTTTTCAAAAGAAGACATTTATGCAGCCAACAAACATATGAAAAAAAGCTCCATCACTGGTCATCAGAGAAATGCAAATCAAAACCACAATGAGATACCATCTCACACCAGTTAGAATGGCGATCATTAAAAAGTCAGGAAACAACAGACAGTGAAGAGGATGTAGAGAAATAGAAACACTTTTACACTATCGGTGGGAGTGTAAATCAGTTCAACCATTGTGGAAGACAGTGTGGTGATTCTTCAAGGATCTAAAACTAGAAATACCATTTGTCCCAGCAATCCCATTACTGGGTATATACCCAAAGGATTATAAATCATTCTACTATAAAGACACATGCACACGTATGCTTATTGCAGCACTATTCACATTAGCAAAGACTTGGAACCAACCCAAATGCCCATCAATGTTAGACTGGATAAAGAAAATGTTGCACATATGCACCATGGAATACTACACAGCCATAAAAAAGAATGAGTTCATGTCCTTTGCAGGGACATAGATGAAGCTGGAAATCATCATTCTCAGCAAGCTAACACAGGAACAGAAAAATAAACACTGCATGTTCTCACTCATAAGTGGGCATTGAACAATGAGAACATATGGGCACAGGGAGGGGAACATCACAAACTGGGACCTGTCAGGGGGTGGGGGACAAGGGGAGGGATAGCATTAGGAGAAATACCTAATGTAGATGACAGGTTGATGGTTTCGGCAAACCACCATGGCACATGTATACATACCTATGTAACAAACCTGCACATTCTGCACATGTATCCCAGAACTTAAAGTATAATAAAAATAAATAAATAAAGTATTTTGAATCTGTTGGGTGAAATGAAATGTATTGCTAATATATAGGTAGGTTAATTTTTATACAGTTGTTTAATTCTTCTGTGATTAATATGTCACTGATAATTGAGTCTTTATTGTTGGGATTTTTTTTTACTCACCTTATATATTGGGGCTCTCTAGAGAGATAGAATTAATAGGATAGATGTATATATAAAGGGGAGTTTATTAAGGAGTATTGACTCACACAATCACATGGTGAGGTCCCATAATAAGCTGTCTGCAAGCTGAGGAGCAAGGAAGCCAGTTCAAGTCCCAAAACCTCGAAAGTAGGGAAGCCAACAGTGTAGCCTTCAGTCTGTCATCAAAGGCCCAAGATTCCCAAAGCTGAAGAACTTGGAGTCTGATGTTTGAGGGCAGGAAGCAGCCAGCATAGGAGAAAAATAAAGGCCAGAAGACTCAGCCACTCTAGTCTGTCCACGTTCCTCTGCCTAATATTATTCTGACCACACTAGCAGCTGATTAGATTGTGCCCACCGAGATTTAGGGTAGATCTGCCTCTCCCAGTGCACTGACCCAAATGTTAATTTCCTTTGGCAACACCTTCATAGACACACCCAGGAACAATACTTTGCATCCTTCAATCCAATCAAGTTGACACTCAGTATTAACCATTGATATAGGAGTTAAGAAGAAATTATTTAGGCAGATAATGAGGGTACAGGAGTCCTCAGTAATGTTTTCCTTTTAATGAAAAGCAGCCCTCAAATCATTTTCTTTTCTAAGAAAGAGCAGCCTGCAAAATCAAGCTGCAGACATAGACAAGCAAGCTAGAAGCTTGCAGGGGTGAATGCCAGCAGTTGTGCCAGTAAGAAAAGGCTGCCTGGGACTAGGCATGTTCAAAATGGTGGCTCCATGTTCCCTTCCCTTTGCCAGCCACATGTACAGTAAGAAGCAGAAAACATGGCCCCAGCCAAGTGGAAAGTCCATTTGCATAATAGGATTAGGGTGGGATGGCCAGCCTTCCCTGCACGCTATGTAAGCATCACACCTGGTCCAACCAGTCTGTGGGCTCTACGTTAATCAGACACTGCTTCCTCAAGCCTGCCTATAAAATTCAGTGCACTATGCCATGGGCCAGATTTCCCTTTTGGGTGCCCCTCTCTCTCACGACAGAGACCTGTTCTCTTTTCTCTTTCTTTTGCTGATTAAACCTCTGCTCCTAAACTCACTCTTTGTGTGTGTCTGTGTCCTTAATCTTCTTGGCATGAGACTTTGGGTATTTACCCCAGACAACAATGCTGCTTCACCATCACGTTATGTGGTGGGTTCTGGATATCCTCCCAATTTTATATATTCCATCTTTTATTCTTATGGGAAAAACTTCTCTTTCTTGGTATAAAAAAACTTTATTTTATTTTATTTGGTAATAAAGAGTTGGTGTCAATTTGTCAGCATATAAAGTTGATCATGGAGTATAGTCTCATGTGGGTTATTTCTATATGTTGCCCTTTACTCTTTGTTACTGTTTCTGGCTGTTATTTGGATATTTCACTCTGAATTAAAGAGAGATCTGTGATAGGATAATGTGTTGTGTCTAATCTGAGGGAGAAAGCATCCAGTCTCACCATCAAGTATAATGTTAGTTATGGGCTTTTAATAAATGCCTTAAAGCAGGTTTAAAAAAAAAAAAAAGGCCAGGAATGGTGGCTCACACCTGTAATCCCAGCACTTTGGGAGGCTGAGGCTGGCAGATCATGAGATCAGGAGTTCAAGACCAGCCTGACCAACATGGTGAAACCACGTCTCTACTAAAAATACAAAAATTAGCCAGGCATGGTGGTACGTGCCTGTAATCCCAGCTACTCAGGAGGCTGAAGCAGGAGAATCACTTGAACGTGGGAGGTGGAGTTTGCAGTGAGCCAAGATTGTGCCACTGCACTCCAGCCTGGGTGACAGAACAAGTCTCTGTCTCAAATAAATAAATAAATAAAAGAAAATTTCTACTTCTTATACTTCTGGTTTTGTTGCCTCCACCTACTATACTGCACAGCTGACTCTCTTGTTTATTCTCTAACTGCTACCAATTGAAAAAGGAATTGTAGCAACTACCCAGATCAGAGATTGGCAAACTGTGTCCCATTGGCCAAATCATTCCCCTGTTTATTTTTTATAAATTAAATGTGTTAGAATAAAGCCATGCCCATTTACCTATTGTCTATGATTATTTTCATACTGCAACATCAGAGCTGAGAAATTGTAACAGACAGTGTGGTCCCTAAAGACTAAAATATTTATTATCTAGCCCTTTACAGAAAAAGTTTGAAAATGCCTAGTCCAGTCCAATCCAAATATGAGGTATAGACAGTGGTGTGCTAGTAATGTTAAACTGTGGGCTTAGGGGAGTACTGTTTTTTAGCATACCCATTTCCTTAGTGTAAACACTTCCACCATGGCCAATTTCAAGCCACCGGTATGAGGTCAGTGACTGTGGAGTTGGGGAGAGATGTGCATGGCTGGGCTCTCAAGTCAGTGCAAGCCTATTCCAGCACATCACTGAGTACAGAAATCACCCTGTCTGGAACCTGTAAGTAAACACAGCAGGAACTATAAACCTTGAATTCATGAAAACCCTCCTTGAAGTTGCCCAGCCAGAGGCCTAAGTTCCAAATGTTTTCTAACCAACCAAGAGCTCATCTCTAGTTCCTTTTCTGGCTACATTTGTGATAAATTTCAAGTGTCTACCTGGAGCTGTTCTTTACATATAACAATTCTTTTAACCCTCACAATAACATTCAATTATGAACCCATTTAACAGATGAGAATATTGAAACTAAAAGATGTTACAGAATTTGACCAAGAAAAGAAATTGTTGAAAAGCCTGCACAACAAAGCAGCTGATTTGGGCCATGGGCCATTTCCTTGCTTGCCGAGTCACGTTTCTGTCTTGTTTCCCTTTCCACTGTGATGAAGATTGAAAATATTGATGCAAGAGTACTTTTTCCCCAGATTCAAGAGAGGAAGAGTCACTTGCTTCCTGGATTGTGTTCATCAGGAAAGTTGAAAGAGGAGAGACTATATTCATAGGAAAAGAGGCAAAGAATGAAAGAATGGGTCTGGGGGTGGGGAGGAGTGGAATAGAGCCTGAGGGAAAGAGAAAGATAGGAGCTAGCACGAGTTGAGACTTTAAAGAATTTTGAGACAGAGAAGAGAAGATATTAGGGGTAGCTGCCACAGTGTGATATGCAAGGTGCTGGGAGAGAATGGAGAAAGAGGATTTTAGACAATTTTGCTACATATAAAGGCATTTCCATCAGGAGCCTTGTTGAAAGACATCAGTGAAAGCTAAATGGCTTTTCTAGGGATTTTTTTGGATATTAGCCTAATACTTCTTTAATGCAACACTGTGTTGAGACTATTCAGAACATGCTAAGATTAATATGTTATCCATTCCATCTAATGCTGAAGAGAATGAAATCCTTTTCTTTTAAAGACAAAGCATTTGGGTTGTGGCTTTTATTATCCACAATAGAAAGGAGTCATCAATGCACTCAGTACAGACATCAGAATAAGGCAAAATCTAGAACTTCATGGTTGAGCAGACGAAGCCCATTGTCTCCAAACAAGCCCCTTCAAATGAACAGAACAGAGTCCACCATGTGTCGGGGCTATAAAAGGTGACAGTCTCAGTCGCCATCCATAAGAAGTGTACAGCCTGGCAAGAGAGACCAGACACATAAATGACTATAGGAAATAGCTGCTGTGAGACTCTATAAAGTGATACGTCAAGAGCCTCTGCATTCCTGCCTGGACTGTCTTCTACCTTTGTATTGCATTTTGAAGTTTAGTGCCTGTGCACAGGCAGGCTGCTAACTACAGTCACAGCCAGCCCGATTTTTAACAGGCATAAAGCGGGAGCATTTCTTACAAGAACTATCTACCCATCTAAGACTTTTCTTCCTTTATTGATACCTTCGTCCCAACTCCTCCCCCAACACACACACCTGCTTGGGACACAATTGTATGGGGATGTGATGCTCGGAATTACAGCAGCTATACGGTGAGCCAAAAAAGAGTCAAAAGAATGTTAGAGACACCAACCCAATGTCCTGACATGGTAAAGCTCCTGAGTGAACCAACCGTAGATTCACCACTTTCTAGATTTCCCATGTGAAATAACCGTCTCTACTATATAAGCTACTTGAATGCTGGCTCTGCAATTTACCCATTGTGTGAGCTTAAGCAAATTATTCAACCTCTTGGTACCTATTTCTTCATATTTTAAAATGCTCATAATAATAACAATACTTACAGGGTTGTTGTGACAAATAAGTTAATACATGTAAACATAGTATATTTCTTAAATCACAGTTAAGTGATCAATAAATATTAGTTATTACTATTACTAGTTGCATATTTTGCTGCTTATAGGCATAAACTATTTCTAACACAGACATTTACTTTAAAATGTAAATGATTGGTAGTAGCTTCCAGCATTATTTTGCAAGCTTATAACATACCATTCTTTAACATAAGTTAGTGAGTATTTATTGAGCCCTTTTTAAGGGCGAGACTCTGTTCTAGACACCGAAGGAATGAATATCTGGAATTGAAATTTCTGGATTCAGTAGATCAATGGGATAGATATTTGGGAAAGACAAAGGAACACTGCTGCTATCTCAATATCACATAATTGACAATGTTCACTTAGGACATAAAGAGTTGGTGCATGCTGTGCCCT
This sequence comes from Homo sapiens, assembly GCF_000001405.40. Classification (NCBI taxonomy): domain Eukaryota; kingdom Metazoa; phylum Chordata; class Mammalia; order Primates; family Hominidae; genus Homo; species Homo sapiens. The sequence goes on from NC_000012.12 coordinate 41,860,149, forward strand.
ATATTTGGCTGCATGCTGAAAAGCACAAGACTTCATCCAGCACAACCATTCCACTTACACATCCAGGTAAAGGTGATGCCACTACAGCAAGTTTTGTCCATTTTTCTTTTTGTATATGAACTCTTACTGTGACTTTGACACCTTCTACGATGACATTGGAATGCCCCTCAAGCCTCACTCTTGGTCCCTTAATATTTCACCTCTTTCTCTCCAGCATGCATTACAGAGCAGTGCATCAATATCCAGGAAACTTAAAAAGCTTCATTCTCCAGCCCCAGGCTATTCCATTCTACCCAGAGCATACGGCTTCAGATCCCCTGCTGGAGGTTGGGCAGGGAGATCTTGGCCTTCAAGTCAACCTGCTTTGGGTTTCACTGCTTTAACAGAGGAGTAAATTTAACACCTGGGCCAGCACTTTGTATCCTCATTCCCTTTTGGCATCACTGGGCTTACATTTCTACAGACTTTGATAAAGCAACAGATCTAACAGAATTTTTTAGTGGTGGCCGCTGCTGGTGCTAGATTAGATTTCTCCCAACCTCTGATAACTTGTCAGTAAGTTTTTCATAGGAGTCCTGTCAATTTCCTACCACTTCATCACATGTCTTTGCAGCCACCTAAATAGTTCTACCTGATTCTTCCTTTTCTTTTCTTCCTTATTCCAAGAATTCCTTTTTCCCTGGTAATTTGCTTTCTTCTACATAGTCCAGATTTTCTTTGGCAGCTGCAAGAATAAACTCATCATTGCCCTTATCTACCCTCCTTTCCTTCCAGTGGGAGGGTCACTTCCGAGCCCATGTGAAAGGCGTTCCCCAAGCACAGTAGGATACCATTTGGTACTGCTCATCTCTGATTCTGTCATAGCTAGTCCAGGGCTGCTGTGCCCTTAACAGGTCCTTGTGTCTGCAGGGATGCTCTGTTTCACTGCTGATGAGAGAACTGGGCAGATGCCTGCCTTGGCCCAGGCACTCCCCGACTTCAGCCTTCACCCATTCCTCACAGGCATTACTCTTACTCCAGCAGGTAATTCTGAATGCCAAGCTACAGCAGGTTGTGTACTGGTACAAATACCAAATACCTCCTTCCATTCTGCAGATTCCAAAAATAAATTATGAGGCCCTAGGTCAACTCACCTGACAATCCAGAAAAGCAGGGATTCCCAGGCAACCGATGATATTTTTCACAAAATGGCCCAGCTCTTTTACACTGCAGCCCCTGGTTTCCAGCAGGTGAGGAAAGAGTTAACACCAGGGCTGGCCAAGCCTGACTGGAAAAATGACCTCCGAGTCTGTCTTCCCAGAGTATTGTTTTTTTCTGGAGGCTGCAGAGTTAGGATCAGTGTGGAATTTATCCTATGATTGTCGTGTTTGCTGTGAGAGCCCTAATCCAGGGGAATGGATCTGTGAGCTGGCACACAGGCCTTAGGCTTACGTGTGCACAGTGGTATAAAATAATGGTGGGGAGCCACCTGCAATGTACCCACACGTTATGCAGGTGGGGGGACTAAAGAGACAGTGTGGGCCCAACAGCTGCTGGGCCTTCCAATGAACTGAAGATGCCCTGTGGCTGTATCTCCTTCCTTGCACCCCTCTATAAAGTTACCAAAAAATGTATTATTAGATTAAAGCTTATTGTGTCTTGTGAGTCCAATTGACAACTTAAACTGATATCAACCACTACAGAGGAACAACGTAAAAATGCTTTGAGGAAGTATTCTACCTATTTAGGAAAGAATTTTTACTAGAAAACAATGAAATATCAGAAATATAAGAATACTGGTTGTATTTATATTCAGTCCATGTAGTCTTTCTGAGTTTTCTGCCAAGCAGCCTATTACCCTAGCCCCACTGCCCCTGTCTCTAGCCTCAGGGTGAGGCTTTCTGTCACCTTCTCCACTTTCATCAGCCAAAACCAGTGCTCCGACAGGTCCCAGGTCCTTCCTCACGGGCCAAAGTTAATCCACCGCATCTCCCTCCCCTGCTTCGCTCATTCCACCTGGATCCCAGTTTCCTTATCTGTACAATGAAGACAGTAAGAATGACAAAGAAAAGCAGAATTAGAAAGAAATTACTCCAGCTATTGTTTTAATAAAAGAAAAACTTCAGCCAAATTAAATTTAAAGAGGTTTAATTGAGCAATGAGTGACTGGTGAATCCAGCAGCCTTCTGAGCCAGAGTAGGCTTGGGGACTCCAGCGGAGCCATGAGGTGGAAGAAGATTTATGGACAGAGGCTGGGCGCAGTGGCTCATGCCTGTAATCCCAGCATTTTGGGAGGCCAAGGCCGGCGGATCACAAGGTCAGGAGTTTGAGACCAGCCTGGCTAACATGGTGAAACCCCATCTCTACTAAAAATACAAAAATTAGCCAGGCGTGGTAGCACGTGCCTATAATCCTAGCTACTCAGAAGGCTGAGGCAGGAGAATCGCTTGAACCCAGGAGGCAGAGGTTGCAGTGAGCCGAGATTGTGCCACTGCACTCCAGCCTGGAACAGAGCAGGACTCCACCTTGGGAAAAAAAAAAAAAGATACATGGACAGAAAAAGGAAAGTGACGTACAGAAAACAGAAGTGAGGTACAGAAACAGCTGGATTGGTGACAGCTCGGCATTTGTCCTATTTGAACACACTTCGAACAGTTGGCTACATGAGATTGGCCAAAACTCGGTGACTGGCACAAGTGTAGGCTATGGTCTGTTTACACTCCCACTTGTTATAGTTCATGATGTACAGAGAAACCTTTAGGCTGAACTTAAAATATCTAAGAAGGCAGTTTTAAGTGAAACTTGACTTAACGGTTTTAATAACCTGTGATTCATATAATTATTTCAATGTTTCTAAACTCAAATTCGACACTTTTAAAGAGTGTCAAAGGCAGGGAGTAAGCTGAAGAAAGCTTCGAAGGCAGGGACCACGTATTTTATGATGCTGTTCTTATGAACCTAAGACCTAAATCAGCTAGTACCAAGATAGTACAGGGGGTGAGGTTCATTTTGGATTTTGTTTTTGGTCTGTGACAACGTCCATGCTGTTGTCGATGTGTCGTGCCAGTAGTTTTTTGGGACATTCAATAGGGTACTTGACTATGTCTGGTGGGAGTTTTCTTCAAGGCTATCAATATAATGAAAGCAAGTCAAGTGGAAGTGATTCTAGATAATGGCCAAGCTGGAAATATTGGTTCCAGTCAAACGGCATCAGAAAGATTCCACTTCCCCTTTGTCAATAACAAATTAAGTAGCTCTACAGATGGCCAAATAGCATGTATACTGAGAAGAAAGAGAAGAGAAGGAAGCACCAACCGGACTTATTTCACCCACCCTAACTCTTGCGTGATCTTTATCCCTCTTATCAGTTACCCACATAGATCACAGCTGTGCTGTTCAAATATTTTTCACAACCAATGAGGAAAGATTTATTTTTTTATCTTGACCCAATATTTTATATTTTCCACTTTATTTTTTATTGCAGGCAGTGACCCACTAAATTGATTTTATGACCCCACAAACAGTTCGCATCCTACGGTTTTGAAATCACTGGACTAAACTATGTGAGGACTTTACAGAATGGTGTTAAAATTCAGCAATTATCCTTGCCCCGTGTTAGTTTAGATGACTTCATTGATTGGCCTCTAGGGAAAGCCTGAGGCTCCTGCCTTCTTATTCTTACCTCCCCCTCCTCCCCAAAGGAGAATCTATCTCTTGATTGATCTCATTCCAAGACACAGCATTAGGACTCACTCTAGTGGGTGGAGTGTCCTAAGAGATGAAGAGGTTGAACACAGGGTTATCTAAAAGAAGAGCTTCCTCCTGAGAAGGTCTGAGACAGGTAATGGAACACTTCCTTCCCCAGGCCTTTGGAAAACTTTCCACCTAATGTCCCTCTCTGCTCTTCTATCTGCTAGGAGATACTTTGGGCAGTTCTTCCATGTGTGTCATTCCGTTGGAATGGCAAAATGCAGACTTTTCAATGGAAGCCAGCAAAGTGGTTCTTTCAGCCCACTTGAGCTTTGTCCATAAGATGGGCCACAGCAAGTATTGTTTCTTAATATAGTGTTGTGCCATTGCTACAAAAAGAATAAAATATTTAGGAATAGTTAGCAAGGGAAGTGAAGGACCTCTTCAAGGAGAACTACAAACCACTGCTCAAAGAAATCAGAGGAGACACAAACAAATAGAAAAACATTCCATGCTTATGGATAGGAAGAAATCAATATCATGAAAATGGCCAGACTGCCAAAACTAATTTATAGATTCAAGGCTATTCCCATTAAACTACCATTGACATTCTTCACAGAATTACAAAAAATGATTTTAAAATTCATATGGAACCAAAAAAAAGGGCCCAAATAGCCAAGACAATCCTAAGCAAAAAGAACAAAGCTGGAGACATCATTCTACCTGATTTCAAACTATACTACAAGGCTACAGTAACCAAAACAGCATGGTACTTGTACAAGAACAGACACATAGACCAATGGAACAAATGGAGAACTCAGAAATAAGACCACACACCTACAACCATCTGATCTTCAACAAACCTGACAGAAACAATCAATGAAGAAAGGACTCTCTATTTAATAAGTGGTGCTGGGAGAGCTGGCTAGCCATATGCAGAAAATTGAAACTGGACCCCTTCCTTACACCATACACAAAAATTAACTCAAGATGGATTAAAGACTTAAATGTAAAGCCCAAAACTATAAAAGCCCTAGAAGAAAATTTAGGCAATACTATCCAGGACATAGGCACAGACAAAGATTTCATGATGAAAACGCCAAAAGCAATTGCAACAAAAGCAAAAATTGACAAATGGGATCTAATTAAACTAAAGAGCTTCTGCACGGCAAAAGGAATTATCATCAGGGTGAACAGATAACTTACAGAATGGGAGAAATTTTTGAAGTTTATCCATCTGACAAAGGTCTAACATCCGGCATCTACAAGAAACTTACACAAATTTACAAGAAAAAAAACAAACAACCACATTTAAAATGGACAAAATACATGAACAGACACTTCTCAAAAGACATACATGTGGCCAAGAAACAGATGAGAAAATGCTCAACATCAGTGATCACTGAAAATGCAAATAAAACCACAATGAATACTATCTCACACCAGTCAGAATGTCAATTATGAAAAAGTCAAAGAACAACAGATGCTGACGAGGTTGCAGAGAAAAAGGAATGCTTTTACACTGTTGGTGGGACTGTGTGAATTAGTTCAACCTGTGTGGAAGATGGTGTGGCAATTCCTCAAAGACCTAGAGCCAGAAATACCATTTGACCCAGAAATCCCGTTACCAGGTATATATGCAAAGGAATATAAATCATTCTACTGTAAAGATACATGCACGTGTATGTTCATTGCAACCTATTCACAGTAGCAAAGACATGGAATCAACCCAAATGCCCATCAATAATAGACTGGATAAAGAAAATGTGGTATGAATACTCCATGGAATATTATGTAATCATAAAAAAGAATGAGATTATGTCCTTTGCAGGGACATGAATGGAGTTGGAAACTATTGTCCCCAGCAAACTAACACAGGAACAGAAAACCAAATATCACATGTTCTCACTTATAAGTGGGAGCTGAATCATGAGAACATATGGACACAATGTGGGGTGAGCAACATACACTGGGGCCTCTTGGGGGTGGGGAGGGAGAGCATCAGAAAGAATAGCTAATGGACGCTGGGCTTAATACCTAGGTGATGGGATGATCTGTGCAGCAAACAACCATGGCACACGTTTACCTATGTTACAAACCTACACATCCTGCATATGTACCCCTGAACTTAAAATAAAATTTAAAGAAATGAAATATATGTAGTATTATGCCTGGGGTTTTTCAATAGTTCTATAAACTATTTTCTCAAGCTGGCAAAATTCTGGTGAGTAAGGAAGTTTTAACTTCTGAATTTTCTTGAGTTTCTGCCCCATCCCCACCCCATCCCCAAGGCTTGAAAGCTGCTTGAGATTGCATTATTGGTGTATAGATGTATCAGCCTGGGAAATTATCTGTAATTATCCTCTGCCTCATCTTTGATGAACTTAAAAGTGAAGTGAAGACAAGCCAAAAGGGATCTTTTTCACTTCCTAAAATTTGACATCTTGGGTTCTTGATTTACATAGTCTACTAACTAAGAATTAAAGATCTATAGGTAATCTTGTTCTGTTCTAAATGATCTCTATTAACATATCTAAATATGAGACAGTTATCCAGGCTCAAATACTATTCAACACAACTCGATTCCAAGGCATGGGTAGTTGAACAATCCTCTTTGGTTCTGATTCATCTACAGGAGAAAATGTGAGCTCCATGAAAATAGGAAGTATGTCTGTTTCTTTATCACTGAATGGTCAACTCCCAGCAACAATGGCCTGGTTTAGAAAATACACCCACTAAATATTTGTTGAACGAACACAAACATGATGAATAAATAACAAAAAAAAAATCTAAGAGGTGCTGAGAAGAAGGGGAGGACTTGGCTCAAAGGAAGTGATACGATAAGCAGGACATCCAGGAGCCCTGATGTTCTATTGGACCATTACCGAACAGATCCTCAGGGCTCATGAACAGGGCTATTTCAGAGCTGCCACTTCTATTCCTGCTCTTCCCCAGGCAGAACCTAGCAACACAGAACCAGAGGACTAGCTGGGTATCCTGCCAGCCTCCTCCAGGCTCACAGTCCTCTAAATACTGCAGTAATTGCAAACATTTATCGAACACTAATGACAAATTGAGCCCAAACACAGAATTAGACTCAGTGCCTCTCCATAAAGCAAATCCCAAGAGCTATGAAAATGCCATAATAGTAATTCTCAACACTAATATCTTGGGACAAATATGTACATGACCACAAAGGTTAAGGGCTCTGCTCCCAATTACTAAAGGGTGACAGTCTCCTTCACTTCTCATCATCTGTTTTATTGCCACTATATTGTCAGTGTTGTCACCATGGTGCCTAGCACATTTTTTATACTGTTCATACAGATCTTTATCGAGTGTGAGTGGTGTGTTCATTTCCCCTCTTAACTCCAGGCTCCCTCTGTGATTGTTTCTGATGGTTGAGATGGGATGGATGCTGTGTGGGATTAATGAGAAGCCACCGTCCCCTCTGAAATCCTTTCATTTGTGGGCCCACTTGAACACTAATACGATCAAAAGATTTCAAAGAGGCCAGGACCACTAAAGCAAGAGTCAATCCAAGGAGCCCATCTAAGAAAGAAGAGCTTTTAAAAACGAATGTAAGTGCCTGTTCTCAAAATTTAAACAGAATGGTGAATCTTAAACAGCCTCATACGAAACTCAGTGTTTATTAACCTGAGTTTTCATCTCAAATATTAAAAGACTAAAGATAAAAGGATTAAAAGAGAAATTTTCCCATCCCAGGTTCCCTAATTTTTTTCACACAGCTCAAAGACTGTTTTGCTAGCAGTACTCTGACGATGGAGCTACATGTCACACTCAAAAGGCAGCACAGTGATTTCAAATTGATAAATTGCACGCATGTATTGGTATCTGAATGCATCAAATCACTAAAGCAGGCACTATTTTCATGCAAGCTCATGAACGGGCTTTAGTGTAAAACTTCCAGCAATCAGTACTACCTGTAAAACAAAAATATCAGGGACATAAACTTTTGTCCTTCAAAGAAATAAAAAAATTTTATGAAATAGGCCATGTCTTATTTATTTCTTGACTTATTGCCACCTGATAGCTGCTGTCTATCTTCCAGTTTTTTGCACTTAACATTTTGAGAAAAGCCCACTTTATATTTCAGAGTGATTTGACTCTGACTGAAGACCATGAATTTTTTTTTTTTGGCAGGGGGTGGGGTAAAGCATTGTTGGTTTGGAGGTAGGGGAAGCGGTATTTTTATTTATTTATTTATTTATTTTGTTTTTGAGACAGAGTCTCACTCTGTCGCCCAGGCTGGAGTGCAGTGGTGCAGTCTCAGCTCACTACAACGTCTGCCTCCTGGGTTCATGTGATTGTCCTGTCTCAGCTTCCCAAGTAGCTGGGATTACATGTGCCTGCCACCACACTCAGCTAATTTTTATATTTTTAGTAGAGATGGAGTTTCATCATGTTGGCCAGGCTGGTCCCAAACTCCTGACCTCAGGCGATCTGCCTGCCTCAACCTCCCAAAGTGCTGGGATTACAGGTGTGAGCCACCATGCCCAGCCAAGGAAGCTGTTATTTTTAAGTCTGCAAGTGGTTTTCTGCTTCTTTGGTGAAGAAGACTTAAATTATACTTTGGAGACAAACTGCTATCATTTGAAAAAAAAAATCCTTTGAATAAACTTTTTGGTTGTGTGAAAAATCTTGAATCAAGCAGAGATCTTATTCTAGAATAGAGGTTGTTACAGATCTGCTGGCTGGTCCTTGTGATGAGTATTTTTGGAAGAGGGAGCATAGTTTAATGGTTATACCCTCAGATGGTGGGGATATACTGCCCAAGTTCAAATCCTAGCTTCTTCCATTTACTAGCTTTGTGATTTTGTTACAATTTACTAATCCCTTTGTGCATTGGTTTTCTTATCTGTAAAACTGGAGAACAGCCTTTTTCATAGGACTACCTGAGGACTATATGAGTTGATACATAAGAAACGCGGAAGAGAATCTACAAAGTAGCGATTTCTATATATGTACTAGATTGTCATTCTCTGTTGGCCAAATTTCATCTCACAGATTATTTCCTTATAGGAAAGAAGGAGAAACAAAGTGAGCTTGTTTCTGTAAGTGAAGACACAGTGGCAACAGTCAGCAGTTCAGCCTTAAGGACAGAGTCATAGGTAATAGCCTGTGGATGAGGCTTCATTCAAACAACTACCATGTTTGAGATGCATTTAGATTTTCTCAATTATGATCACTGATTAATCTCAAATATTCAGCAAAATCTTTTTAATTTTGCAGCCTTATCTCACCCATCCTTGTGAGAGGTAAGATCTTTTGAAGAAGGAAGGAAAGCCCCAGAGCCAGACCATGGGCAGAGTGGGTAAGGAACAATCAGAAAGATCTGAGGAGTAGGGGCAGATGCCCTGGGGATTTCCAGGGAGCAGTGAATTAAAGATCATAGTAAAAGGCTTGATTTCTTGCAAATAAGCAGCATGCGGACTTGCACCTTATGCATTTGGGCATAACGTGAAAGCATAGTCTTATCCTGTGGTCATGTGTAGATATTTACCTTTTAGGCTGCCTGTTCCCATTTCTGATGTTTGAGAGATTTCTATGAGCCTCAAGCGTAAACACTTGCCTTCCCTATTCCTAAAAGTTAGTGAGCTCTCTACCCCTGAACTCTAATGCCAAACTGGGTGTGACTTTAGCCAGTTTAACCGCCCTTATCTTTAATTCTTAATCTGATAACACAAAGAAGCAAGACAGGAAAGATTCATTCTGGGAGAGGCAGCAGCCACATATAGTACCCTGGGAGCACGGGCTGTGGTGCTGTTGGCAACAGTCTTTAGCAACCTGTTTCAGGGTTTGATTCTGGCTGTGGTCCTGTGTGCCCAGCCCCCCTGCATTCCTGCCTTTTCTCCAGCCTGGCTCTTTAGACTCACTGTCCTTTTTGCATCCTACCCAGTGTCCTTCAAAACAAAATCTTCTTATCAATGGGAGAAAATATTTGCAAATGTACATCTGACAAGGGGCTAATACACAAAACATACACAGAACTCAAAAAACTCAAGAGCATAAAAACAACCCAATTTAAAAATGGACAAAGGGGCTGGGTGCAGTGGCTCACATCTATAATCCCAGCCCTTTGGGAGGCCAAGGCAGGCAGGTCACTTAAGCCAGGAATTCAAGACCAGCCTAGGCAACATGGCGAAACCCCGTCTCTACAAAAAAATACAAAAAATTAGCCGGGCGTGGTGGCACGTGCATGTAGTCCCAGCTACTGGGGAGGCTGAGGTGGAAGGATCATCTACACCCAGGGGGTAGTGGCTGCAGTGAGCCGTGATCATGCCACTGCACTCCAGCCTGGGTGACAGAGTGAGATCTTGTCTCAAAGAAAAAAACAAATTAATTAATTAAAAATAAAAATAAATTAAAATGAGCAAAGAGACGAGGCTAGCAAGATGGCCGAATAGGAACAGCTGCAGTCTGCAGCTCCCAGCGAGACCAAGACAGAAGGCGGGTGATTTCTGCCTTTCCAACTGAGGTACCCGGCTCATCTCATTGGGACTGGTTAGACAGTGGGTACAGCCCACGGAAGGCAAGCCAAAGCAGGGTGGGGTGTTGCCTCACCTGAGAAGTGCAAGGGGTTGAGGAACTCTCTCCCCTAGCCAAATGAAGCCGTGAAAGACTACGACATGAGGAAAGGTGCACTCCAGCCCAGATACTATGCTTTTCCCACAGTCTCTGCAATTCACAGACAAGGAGATTCCCTTGGGTGCCTACACCACCAGGGCCCTGGGTTTCCAGCAAAAAACTGGGCAGCTGTTTGGACAGACACCGAGCTAGCTGCAGGAGGTTTTTTTTTTTTTTTCATACCCCAGTGGCACCTGAAACACCAGTGAAACAGAACCGTTCATTCCCCTAAAAAGGGGGCTGAAGCCAGGTAGCCAAGTGGTCTTGCTCAGCGGATTCCACCCCCATGGAGCCCAGCAAGCTAAGATCCACTGGCTTGAAATTCTCACTGCCAGCACAGCAGTCTGAAGTTGACCTGGGATGCTAGAGGTTGGTGGGGGGAGGGGCATCTGCCATTACTGAGGCTTGAGTAGATAGCTTTCCCCTCACGGTGTGAATAAGCCACCGGGAAGTTCAAACTGGGTGTGGAACCCACCACAGTGTGGCAAAGCTGCTGGAGCCAGACTGCCTCTCTAGATTCCTCCTCACTAGGCAGGGCATCTGAAAGAAAGGCAGTAGCCCCAGTCAGGGGCTTATAGATAAGACTCCCATCTCCCTCGGACAGAGCACCTGGGGGAAGGGGCAGCTGTGGGTGCAGCTTCAACATCAACAAAAAAGACCCCCGTGCAAAAACCCCATCCAAAGGTCAACAACATCAAAGACCAAAGGTAGATAAATCCACGAAGATAAGGAACAGCCAGCACAAAAAGGTTGAAAATTCCAAAAACCAGAATGCCTCTTCTCCTCCAAAGGATCACAACTCCTTGCCAGCAAGGGAACAAAACCGGACTGAGAATGAGTTTGATGAATTGACAGAAGTAGGCTTCAGAAGGTGGGTAATAACAAACTCCTCTGAGCTAAAGGAGCACATTCTAACCCAATGCAAGGAAGCTAAGAACCTTGAAAAAAGATTACAGGAATTGCTAACTAGAATAACCAGTTCAGGGAAGAACATAAATTACCTGATGGAGCTGAAAATCACAGCACAAGAACTTAATGAAGCACACGTAAGTATCAATAGCGAAATCGATCAAGTGGAAGAAAGAATATCAGAGATTGAAGATCAACTTAATGAAAGAAAGCATGAAGACAAGATTAGAGAAAAAACAATGAAAAGGAACAAAGCCTCCAAGAAATATGGCACTATGTGAAAAGACCAAACCTACGCTTGATTGGTGTACCTGAAAATGACGGGAAGAATGGTACCAAGTTGGAAAACACTCTTCAGGATATTATCCAGGAGAACTTTCCCAACCTAGCAAGACAGGCCAACATTCAAATTCAGGAAATAAAGAGAACATCACAAAGATACTCCTCAATAAGAACAACCCCAAGACACATAATTGTCAGACTGACCAAGGCTGAAATGAAGGAAAAAATGTTAAGGGCAGCCAGAGAGAAAGGTCGGGTTACCCACAAAGGGAAGACCAGACTAACAGCCAATCTCTCTGCAGAAACCCTACAAGCCAAACGAGAGTGGGAGCTAATAGTCAATATTCTTAAAGAAAAGAATTTTCAACCCAGAATTTCATATCCAGCCAAACTAAGCTTCAAAAGTGAAGGAGAAATAAAATCCTTTATAGATAACTAAATGCTGAGGGATTTTGTCACCACCAGGCCTGCCTTACAAAAGCTCCTGATGGAAGCACTAAATATGGAAAGGAAAAACCGGTACCAGCCACTGCAAAAACATACCAAAATGTAAAGACCATCGACACTATGAAGAAACTGCATCAACTAATGGGCAAAATAACCAGCTAGCATCATAATGACAGGATCAAGTTCACACATAACAATATTAACCTTAAATGTAAATAGGCTAAATGCCCCAATTAAAAGACAAAGAATGTCACATCAGATAAACAGTCAAGACCCATCGGTGTGCTGTATTCGGGAGACCCATCTCACATGCAGAGACTCACATAGGCTCAATAAAGGAATGGAGGGATATTTACCAAGCAAATCAAAAGCAAAAAAAGGCAGGGGTTGCAATCCTAATCTCTGATAAAACAGACTTTAAAGCAACAAAGATCAAAAAAGACAAAGAAGGGCATTACATAATGGTAAAGGGATCAATGCAACAAGAGCTAACTATCCTAAATATATATGCACCTAATACAGGAGTGCCCAGATTCATAAAGCAAGTTCTTAGAGACCTACAAAGAGTCTTAAACTCCCACACAATAATTGTGGCAGAATTTAACACCCCACTGTCAATATTAGACAGATCAATGAGACAGAAAATTAACAAAGATATTCAGGACTTGAGCTCAGCTCTGGATCAAGTGCACCTAATAGACATCTACAGAACTCTCCACCCCAAATCAACAGAATATACATTCTTCTCAGCACCACATATCACTTATTCTAAAATTGACCACATAACTGGAAGCAAAACACTCCTCAGCAAATGCAAAAGAATGGAAATCATACAAAATAGTCTCTCAGACCACAGTGCAATCAAATTAGAACTCAGGATTAAGAAACTCACGCAAAACCGCACAACTGCATGGAAACTGAACAATCTGCTCCAAATGACTACTGGTTAAATAACGAAATTAAGGCAGAAATAAATAAGTTCTTTGAGAACAAAACACAACGTACCAGAATCTCTGGGATACAGCTAAAGCAGTGTTTAGAGGGAAATTTATAGCACTAAATGCCCACAAGAGAAAGTGAGAAAGATCTAAAATCGACACCCTAACATCACAATTAAAAGAACTAGAGAAGCAAAAGCAAACAAATTCAAAAGCTAGCAGAAGACAAGAAATAACTAAGATCAGAGCAGAACTGAAAGCTATAGACACAAAAAAGCCCTTTGAAAAATCAATGAATCCAGGAGGTGGTTTTTTGAAAAGATTGACAAAATAGACAGACCGCTAGCCAGACTAATAAAGAAGAAAAGAGAGAAGAATCAAATAGACACAATAAAAAATGATAAAGGGGATATCACCACTGATCCCACAGAAATACAAACTGCCATCAGAGAATACTATAAACATCTCTATTACATAAACTAGAAAATCTAGAAGAAATGGATAAATTCCTGGACACATACACTCTTCTAAGACTAAACCAGGAAGAAGTCGAATCCCTGAATAGGCCAATAACAAGTTCTGAAATTGAGGCAGTAATTAAAAGCCTACCATCCAAAAAAAAGCCCAGGTCCAGATGGATTCGCAGCCGAATTTAACAGAGGTACAAAGAGGAGTTGGTACCATTTCCTTCTGAAGCTATTCCAAAAAATAGAAAAAGAGGGACTCCTCCCTAACTCATTTTATGAGACCAGCATCATCCTGATACCAAAACCTGGCATAGACACAACAAAAAAAAAGAAAAAGAAAATTTCAGGCTAATGTCCCTGATGAACATCAACGGAAAAATCCTCAATAAAATACTGGCAAACGGAATCCAGCAGCACATTAAAAAGCTTATCCACCACGATCAAGTCAGCTTCATCCCTGGGATGCAAGGCTGGTTCGAATATGCAGATCAATAAACATAATCTATCACATAAACCGAACCAATGACAAAAACCACATGATTATCTCAATAGATGCAGAAAAGGCCTTCAACAAAATCCAACAGCCCTTCATGCTAAAAACTCTCAATAAACTAGGTATTGATGGAACATATCCCAAAATCATAAGAGTTATTTATGACAGACCCACAGCCAATATCATACTGAATGGGAAAAAACTGGAAGCATTCCCTTTGAAAACCAACACAAGACAAGGAGGCCCTCTCTCACCACTCCTATTCAACATAGTATTGGAAGATCTGGCCAGGGCAATCAGGCAAGAGAAAGAAATAAAGCGTATTCAAATAGGAAGAGAGGAAGTCAAATTGTCTCTGTTTGCAGATGACATGATTGTATATTTAGAAAACCCCATCATCTCAGCCCAAAAACTCCTGAAGCTGATAAGCAACTTCAGCAAAGTCTCAGGATACAAAATCAATGTGCAAAAATCACAAACATACCTATACACCAATAATAAACAAATGGAGAGTCAAATCATGAGTGAACTCCCATTCACAATTGCTACAAAGAGAACAAAATACCTAGGAATACAACTTACAAGGAATGTGAAGGACCTCTGCAAGGAGAACTACAAATCACTTCTCAAAAAAATAAGAGAGTACACAAAACAAACATTCCATGCTCATGGATAGAAAGAATCAATATCATGAAAATGGCTATACTGCCCAAAGTAATTTATAGATTCAGTGCTATTCCCATCCAGCTACCCTTGACTTTCTTCACAGAATCAGGAAAAAACTACTTTAAATTTCATATGGAATGAAAAAAAGAGCTCGTATGGCCAAGACAATCCTAAGCAAATAGAACAAAGCTGGAGGCATCATGCTACCTGACTTCAAACTATACTACAAGGCTACAGTAACCAAAACAGCATGGTACTGGTACCAAAACAGATACACAGACCAATGGAACAGAACAGAGGCCTCAGAAATAAAGCCGCACATCTAAAACCATCTGATCTTTGACAAACCTGACAAAAACAAGCAATGGGGAAAGGATTCCCTATTTAATAAATGGTGTTAAGAAAATTGGCTAGCCACATACAGAAAATGGAAACTGGGCCCCTTCCTTACACCTTATACAAAAATTAACTAAAGATGGATTAAAGAGTTAAACGTAAGACCTAAAACCATAAAAACCCTAGAAGAAAAACCTAGGCCATAACATTCAGGACAGAGGCATGGGCAAAGACTTCATGACTAAAACACCAAAAGCAATGGCAACAAAAGTCAAAATTGACAAATGGGATCTAATTAAACTAAAGAGCTTCTGCACAGCAAAAGAAACTACCATCACAATGAACAGGCAATCTATAGAAAGGGAGAAAATTTTTGCAATCTATCCATCTGACAAAGGGCTAATATCCAGAATCTACAAGGAAGTTAAACAAATTTAAGCACAGAAAAAAAAAAAACCCCATCAAAAAGTGGACAAAATATATGAACAGACATTTTTCAAAAGAAGACATTTATGCGGCCAACAAACATATGAAAAAAAGCTCATCATCACTGGTCATTAGAGAAATGCAAATCAAAACCACTATGAGATACCATCTCACACCAGTTAGAATGGTGATCATTAAAAAGTCAGGAAACAACAGATGCTGGAGAGGATGTGGAGAAATAGGAATGCTTTTACACTGTTGGTGGGAGTGTAAATTAGTTCAACCACTGTGGAAGGCAGTGTGGCGATTCCTCAAGGATCTAGAACCAGAAATACCATTTGACTCAGCAATCCCATTACTGGATATATACCCAAAGTAATATAAATCATTCTACTATAAAGACACATGCACATGTATGTTTACTGCAGCACTATTCACAATAGTAAAGATTTGGAACCAACCCAAATGCCCATCAATAATAGACTGGATAAAGAAAATGTGGCACATATACACCATAGAATACTATGCAGCCATAAAAAAGAATGAGTTCATGTCCTTTGCAGGGACACATATGAAGCTGGAAACCATCATTCTCAGCAAACTAACACAGGTACAGAAAACCAAGCACTGCATGTTCTCACTCATAAGTGGGAGTTGAACAATGAGAACATATGGGCACAAGGAGGGGAACATCACACACTGGGGCCTGTTGGGGGGTGGGAGGAAAGGGGAAGGAAAGCATTAGGAGAAATGCCTAATGTAAATGACAGGTTGATGGGTGCAGCAAACCACCATAGCACATATATACCTATGTAACAAACCTGCGCATTCTGCACATGTATCCCAGAACATAAAGTATAATAATAATTTAAAAATGGGCAAAGGAAGACCACCCACAGGAGAACCTCCCTGGATTCCACTTCTGCAAAGCAAGTGGATGGAGCGGGACATGCAGAGCATCCAGCACACCAGCCTGAGAGGCCAAGAGGCCAAGAGGGTGGGCTTCTCGCCCTGTCCATCCATGTCCCCACATCAGGAGGCTCTGTGTCCATGCCCACCACGGCCCTCTCCTCTTTTATCCTCTCTTTTTCTCCATAACACTTGTCACCATTTAATATATTACAAGCTTTATGTATATTTAGGTTAGTATCCTTCTGCATATACTAAAAGGCAGGCACCATGAGAGCAGGAACTTTGTCTCATTCAGTCCTAAATCTCCAGCACCTGGAAAGGTATCTGCACTTGGTCTGCTCTCAATAAATATGTGTGGCTTAAAGAAATGAAAAAAAAATAGGCCAAGGACCTGAATAGATATTTCTCAAAAGAAGATATACAGATGGCCAAGAAGTATATTAAAAAGTATATAAAAAATGCTCATCATCTCTAATTATGTAAATTTAAACCACTGTGAGATATCACCTGACACCTGGTAGAATGGCTGTTATCAAAAAGATGAGAGATAAGTGTTGGCAAGGTTGTGGAGAAAAGAGAACTCTTACACACTGTTGGTGAGAGTGTAAATTAATACAGCCATTAAATATAGCCACTTGAGGAAAACAGTGTGACAATGTTGCAAGAAGTTAAATATCTACCATATCATCCAGCAATCCTACTACCAAGTATAGAGTCACAAGAAATGAAACCACTATGTTGAAGGAAGATTCTGTGCTCCCACATTCATTGCAGCATTATTCACAATGGCCAGAACATGGAATCAAACTGTCCATTGATGGGTGAAAAGATAAAGAAAATGTGGTATATATATACAGTGGAATAATATGCAGCTTTAAAAATAAGGAAGTCCTGTCATTTGCAACAAAATGGATGAACCTGGAGGATATTATGCTAAGTGAAATAAGCTGTGCACAGAAAGACACAGCTGTCACTTATATGTAGAATCTAAAAAAAAGTCAAACTCCTAGAAGGAGAGAATAAAATGGTGATTACAAGGCTCCTGGGGAGTGGGGTACTGGAGAGATGTTGGTCAACGGATACAAAATTTCAGTTAGGCGAGAGAAGTAAGTTCAAGAGATTATTGTACAATGCAGTCACTATAGTTAATAGCAACGTACTATATATTTGAAAGTGCTAAGAGAATAGATTTTAGGTGTTCTCACTAGACACAAAAAAAATGGTATGTGAGGTAATGCATATGTTACTTAGCTTTAGACATTCCACAATGTATACATATATCAAAACATCATGTTTTACATCATAAATACATACAATTCTTGTCAGTTAAAAATAATTATTTTGGCTGGGCACAGTGGCTCATGCTTGTAATCTCAGCACTTTGGGAGCTCAAGGTGGGCAGATCACTTGAGCCCAGGGAACACCAGCCTGGGAACATGGTGAAACGCCGTCTCTACAAAATACAAAAATCAGCTGGACAATGTGGAGCAAGCCTGTAGTCACAGCTACTCGGGAGACTGAGTCAAGAAGATCAGTTGAGCCTGGGAGGTTGAGCCTACAGTGAGCTGAGATCAACCCACTGCACCCCAGCCTGACTGACAGAGTGAGACCTTGTCTCAAAAAAAAAAGTGTTATTTTAATGTCCTTATCTACTTAACACGAGTTGATTTCTATTGTTTACAACCACAAATCTTATACTTAAAACATGATCTTCCTCATAAACAGAAAAATAAAATACCAATAATGGAATATTTTGAAAAGGGGCAATTTAATTTGGTACAATACTACAGCCTTACAGAGATGACCATAGGATTCTCCCACCAATTGAATTGTCAGGTCATAAATATTTCTCCAGGCTGAAAAATTTTTATCTTTCACCTGCCGTTAGTAGGGTCATTGTGATGACAACTCTGATCAGAAAGTCATAATCCAAGAGAAATGTTGCAAAATTCATCAAATCTGCAAATATGTACAAATTCCTATTAGCCTGGTCACCAGCTGACTAGCCAGATCCAGCCAAATGATGTTCTATGAGCCCTAGGACCCAGGGATGGGACAGCCCTCCCGCCACTACTGTGCCTTCCAGCCATCCAGCTCAGTGTAGAAGTGGTTGCCCTATCATTTCTGGTCTATGCCAAAATGTTGCTGCAGTGAAATTTAAAAAAAAAAAAAAAGTGATATAAAGCTGACTTTATTCTGTTTAAAGAATTGGCCTTTCTTAAAATAATCATGTCTTACACTAACTTTTAACTTCAAAAATGTTCTAATTCTGTATGAAACAATGATGAATGAAGATGATAATTTGAACAAAATTTTAATATCATTACTTGGCAAAGTACAAAGTTGGAAACCATAGGTTTGTGTTTTTTATTAGTTCAAGAAATCCAGAAGACTTGGAGCCATTGATTCAGGGAGCACTCCACCACTCTGGCTGCTCCATTTTCTGCCATTATTCAAACACCACTGATTTCCCCGGTGACCAGCACACTCAAGGAGGGAAAGTTTTATTAAATAGAGTCACTTTATTAGAATAAGGCAAAGATGACAATTAGAGGCACTGGCCGCAGAGAATCAGAGATCTCAAAAGGAGTGGGGAAGGGGTTAACAATGAACAGAAATGGACTCTAGTTCTTCTTCAGAGTAATCACTGTAGAGCACAGTCAGTCTCTGCCCAGTAGCATACTCTATAATTGGGATTCTTTTTTTAAAAAAAAAACACATATCTTCATTTCCAACAATTTTTAAAAATTTCTCTTCACTGGCAGACACACCCAAGGAAGAAGCATCCAGTTCAGGTTCTCTATTAGTCTGTTTTCACACTGCTATAAAGAATACTACCTAAGACTGGGTAATTTATAAAGGAAAGAGGTTTAATTGACTTACAGTTCCGCATTGCTGGGGAAGCCTCAGGAAACTTACAATCACGGCAGAAGGGGAAGCAGGCACTTTCTTCACAAGGCAGCAGGAGAAAGTGAGTAAATGAAGGAGAAACTGCCAAACAGTTTTAAAACCATCAGCCCTCATGAGAACTCCCTCACTATCACGAGAACAGCATGGGGGAACTGCCCCCATGATCCAATCACCTCCCACCCTCAACAAGTGCTAATTACAATTCAAGATGAGATTTGGGTGGGGACACAGAGTCAAACCATACCATATTCCTCTTAGCTCTACCTCCAGTGCACCTAAGTGGCTACATGTGATGGAACTAAGCTCATCTCATCAAGACTTCCTTCCTGCAGATGCTAACCAGGTCCTGCTGCCTTCTTATCATCCCAACAAATGCCTACTGCCTTCAAAATGTTTAAGGCATTGTTCTTGTCCTCATGAATACAAGTACATATGTAAAAATTTTCCTTTGCCTGATTTTTTCACATATTCACTCAACATTAATTGAGCACCTACTATGTGTCAGGCACTGTGGTAAAGGAAGCATGAAAGATGCAAAGACTCTGCCCACCAGGGCTAAGACACTTTAAAGGCTAATTTGATCTCCTTTAGCTGGTCTACTTAGAATCCTACTAATGTATTGTCAGTTTTAATAATTAAAAAATGCAAATAATTATCATTTGTCACTTCTTGAGAAAATATAAGAATCTATTCAATATACATCCTAAATACACTGGCCAAAGTTTGAAGACCCTAGAGAAATTTGTAGAAATGGTAAGTGGAAATATTATTTAAACTGTCAGTCTAGGGACATCGCCTTTTTCCAACTTCAAATAGTAATCATGGGAGAAGTCTGAAGAGAGAGTTGGCAAAGGTGCAGAACTTGTGGAAGTGAAAGTATGGTTGGATCATTAGGATTTGCGACTGTCATCAGAGGAGCAGAAAAGAGAGGGAGGAGCAATGATCAGAGAGAGGAATGGAAACACGAAGGATGTTTGCTCTTCTGTAAACCCTACATTTGAACCATGGAGAGAAAGGAGACATACTCTGTCATGCCCCAGAGGATGGAATTAGAACAAACAAGAACAAACATGGCTGCTTTGTTTTAACAATTACCAAAGGAGTGCCTTCAGAAGCACTGCCTCTGAAAGCAATGAGCCTCCTGTTACTGGAATCGTTAAGCTGAGGCTAGATGAAGCCCAGCAGTGATGTTGCCAAAGGGACTCCTCTGGGTGAGAAGGTAGACAGCATGATCTATGCTTCAGTGATAAAAACACTAGCAGGGATAAAAACACTGAAGAGTTAAACCAACTAATTTTGCACATAGAACAACCTCAGTATGGAGTTTTTCACAGTTAGGAATAAAGAGCTGGCTTTTGATATATCACCACCAGTGAATCTCTCCAAGGGCTCTGCCTAACAGAGCATTTCTATCCAAAGGGAGTGCAGGCCTGGGACTATTTATTACAACATCATCTCTTTTATGAAACAAATATTCTTCAATATTCCTTTAATCACAAGAGACCTTCTTAGCATGAACACTTCAGTTATGAGCATGTTCACCACAGCCAGCCAGAGGCCTGAGCAAGAAATTTAATTTTGCTCACCAGTTGCTCTATTCATTATTCCCCCCTTCATGTCATTTAAGCTCCTTACCAAATTAGAAGACATTCTGTAACAGGGTTAGTTTCTACATGGCTGCATCTGACAGTTACAATGAATAAAAACAAGGTTTTTCAAAGGCCTACTATGTCCCAAGGAGCTCAGCAGGGTCTCAGGGAAAATTAAATAAAGGGTAAAGCCAACGTACATTCCCCGGGTTGTAGAATGAGGCATGATGTGCCATTAGGTAAAAGGTACATAAAAAGGATCAAGCAAAACTTTCAGTGCATTAGCCTGTCCGTTACTCTGTGTAGCTTCTCATTTTACAAATGGCACTCACTCTATCGTCTTATAAAATTCTCAGAACAAACCTATGGGTTGTCAAGGCAGGGTTTTTTGTTTGTTTGTTTGTTTGTTTTTGTTGTTGTTTTGTTTTGTTTTGTTTTGTTTGAGATGGAATTTCGCTCTTATCGCCCGGGCAGAAGTGCAGTGGTGCGATCTCAGCTCACTGCAACTTCCGCCTCCAGGTTCAAGCGATTCTCCCTGCCTCAGCCTCCCGAGTAGCTGGGATTACAGGTGCGCACCATCACGCCTGGCTGATTTTTTGTATTTTTAGTAGATACAGGGTTTCACCATGTTGGGCAGGCTGGTCTCGAACTCCTGACCTCAGGTGATCCACCCACCTCGGCCTCCCAAAGTGCTAGGATTACAGGCATGAGCCACCGCACCCGGCCAAGGCAGGTATTATTATCTCCATTCTGAGTAAGACACTCAGAGGCTAGTGAACCTAAGATCACAGAACTAATAACACTTCAAACCCAGTTTATGGGTTTTCCTATTAATCTTAAGTAATGAGCCAGATTTGCATTTCTTTAAACACCAGAATTTATGCATCTGAATGATCATTAAATCTCCTTCCCAGTGGTCACAGGTTGATACTTTGTTCATTTAATACACACAGTTGTGGTACATATACCACTGCCCCAATGACAACTATGTGTGGTGAATGAGCAAACTTGCATTCGTGGAAGCCAGTCACTTCCAAATCCACAGGATGGTCTTTGAATTTTTTCAGTGGTTGCAAGCTTTTGTCCTCAATAGTGGAGATCTCTATTTGCAGCTGGGCAATTTTTCTGTTCCATTTGCTTTAAGTTGCAGATTTGTTCATTCAAGCAAAATATGATTAAGCACTTTTTATCTTAGGTGATGTCAGCTGGGCTCTCTGTCCTACGCACAGCCACGCATCAGCCTCCAGGTCAGTGGGAAACTGCCTCTCTCACATCACTGGGACCTCAGTCGAGACAGCTCATCTCTGCTCCATGGGGTCTCTCATCATCCAGGAGGCTTGCCTGGGCTTCTTCAAATGGCAGTCTCAGAATCCAAAGAGCAGCAAGAGAGGATAAGCCCTAAAGCATAAACACTGCAAATCTCTAATTGTATTGTTGTTTTCCAAGCAGCCAAAGCAAGTCAAGCCCAAGCCCAGAATCAGTTCAGAGGGCAACCAGCCAAGCAGACAGACCCGGGGACATGTGGACAAACTGGCATCCACAAGTGCAAAAATCAGTTATCCTGGGGATTCAAGGATGAACACACTGACAATGTCCCTGCCCTCATGAAGCTTGTTTCTTCATATCCTCCATCAGCCCGTGGTATTTTTTTGCCAAGCAGATAAGCCAGTATTCCTGTGTGATTCTAATTTATCTGATTAATGGTGAGGACAAACATTTCTTTATAGACTTAATAGCCTTCTATGAATTGCTTTTTTGTGAGTCTTGCATATTTTTCTATTGGATTTCCTGTGTTTTTCTTACTGATTGTATGAGTTGCTTGTGTATTGGGTAACAAGCTCATTTATTCATAGATAAAGGAAGCTTTGTAATGGCCAAAAAACCCTTTAGCCTGTTAAAGCAGAATTGTCACCATTGTATATTATTTTATTCTGAATGGGTCATACATATGTATAAAACATTTATGTAAAATGTAAATAATAGTTGTAAAGACTCAGGTGCCACTGCTCCAGTGGCCTCAGAACTATTTATTATTCATCTCTGACTAGAGATGTCACCTTTAGCATACACTATGGACATCTGTATACTTAGATCTATTTCTGGACTTTCTATTTTATTTTCCATTCTTGAGTGTTTTTATCAAGAATGGATGTTGAATTTTGTCAAATGCCTTTTCAGCTTAGATGGAGATGGTCATATGATTTTTCTCCTCCTATTGAACTACTCTTTGCCTGCCTAGAATAAAATCCCTTTGATCATGTTATCTCATTATTTTAATGTGCTGTGGAACACTTCTAGCTGATATTTAACTTAGGATTTTTCCTCAACATCTGTGAGTGAAGTTGATCCAAAGTTTTGTTTTTGTGAATTATTTGCCAGAATTTGTGATACTTGTGATAGTTGCTTTTCTATGAGCTGGAACAATTTAAATAGCAGTGGAATTACCTGCATTTTAAGAGCGAGGTAGACTTCCCTGGATGTTCTTCCAAGGGAGAGCTCTTTGATAACTTTGTTTTCCATAAAAACTGGTCGTTTAATAGTTTCAACCTTTTCTGGGGTTATAATAAGTAAATTACATTTTCCTATAAATTTGTCTTTTTTATTATTTTCCAATTTGTTTGCAGAGACTTTAGCAAAGTATCCTCTTGACTTTTACTTTGTTTTTGTGATTTGCCCCTTGTTTCTCTTTTTTATATGTGCACTTTCTCACTTTTTTCTTTGTTCCATTAGCTTTCAATTTATCTCAATTGCTGTTTATATCAAAGGACAAGTTTTGATTTTATTAGTTGCTGTTTCTATTTTCTAGCTCACTAATTTAGTCAGGTATCTTTATGAATTTTTACGCACTTTTCATTTATTTTGTTGTCTTTTTCAAACTTCTTGAGTTGAATACTTAATTCGATTTTGTTTCATTCTGTAGTTTATGTAAGTATTTAAGGCTGTATCTCCTTTAAGTACTGCTTAGCTTATAGCTTCTATTACACAAAGTTTTCATTATAATTATTTTTGGATGTTCTACAATTTTGATTTATATTTTTTAGTTGAATCAAGAGTTGTTTAGAAAAGAATATCTTAATTTCTAAGAGGTAAAGACTTTCATTGTTTGGGTTTTTTGTTATTGTTAATTTTCCTATATTGTCATCAAAGAATGTTGTTGTATAATTTTTGTTTGTTGATCGTGAATGAGCATTTGAAAATAAAATATGGGGCTGGTCACAGTGGCTCACGCCTGTAACCCCAGCACTTTGGGAAGCCGAAGTGGGCAGATCACTTGAGCCCAGGAGTTTGAGACCAGCCTGTTTCAACCTTGCAACATAGCAAAACCCTGTCTCTACAAAAAATACAAAAATTAGCCAGACTGGGTGGTGCACACCTGTTACTCCCAAGTAACTTCCAGTTACTTGGGAGGCTGAAGTAGGAGTCACTTGAGCCCAGGGAGGTCGAGGTTGTGGTGAGCAGTGATCACACCATTGCACTCCAGCCTGGGTGACAGAGTGAGATCCTGTCTCAAAAAAGAAAGAAAGAAAAGAAAATTTGTTCTCTATTTTCATGTTATAGCATTTTTCACAAATGTACATATAGATATGAAACACAAGAATGTTAATATTGATATTATAAGTATATATTAATTTGGCCCACTTAATATTTTATTGAAGTCTCTTATGTTCTTACTTGCTGATTTTAATTTTCAAGTGTTTTTTGAATCCTTCATAGTGGTAGTAATAGAAGTAGTAGTGGTGCTGCTGACGATGGAGGCTGACATTTATTAAGTGCCTACTATATGCCAGATAATGTGTTCTTTAGCTGGATTATATCACTATCCCATTAACACAACCTTTGTCCAAGCTGCCATCTTTCACCTAAACTATTACATTAGCCTCCTAATTTATCTCTCAACTTGGCTCTGTCCCACTTAAATCCACACTCTCTGCAGCATAGCCTCTAAGGTGAGCTTTGAAAACGTCAAGCCATGATACTCAGGTAGTATGTATATACTGTATATACTCTACTGATTCAGATTCAGAGGGTAGGGCCCAGGAAACTTCATTCTTAAAAATGCCACAGACATTCATTATGCTGACTAAAGTTTTAGAATCACTAGCCTATAGAATAAAGACATAACTAACATCTTTTAAATGCAGCATAGTGTTCCATTTTTTAATAATATAATATTACTGAGTAATTATAAATATATATTTATAATATAGCATATACAGAGTAAGCAATGAAAGTCCCCCCTTCACATTTCCCCAATTCTCATTACTCTCCCTCAAGATAGCTAATATCACTATTTGGTGAGCACCCATTCAGTCTCCTGTTTATTTATCATATATGTATATCTGTATACACTTATAATATGTGTATATTAAAAGTAAATGAAGGTCTACCTCATTCTGTTTAATGGCTATATGATGTTCCATATATAGATCTATGATAATTTAATGACTCTTCAATTAGTATTTACATTGTTTCCAATTTTTCACATATTGTTGATAAGGCTGGAATAAACATCTTAGTGCACATGTCCAAGTATTTCCTTACAATAGATTCATAGAAATTACATTACTCAGTTAAAGCACATGTGCACGTATCAGTTAGGAACTTTGGGCTTCAAGTGATAGAAAACTCAATGCAGATCAGTGTAAGCAAAGAGGAAAATATTAGACTCGTTTGATCCAAACTTTGGGGAGGAACTTGCTTTAGAAAAGATTTGACCCAGTGGACCCCCATTTCTTCCCATCTTTCTCTTCTACATTCCCTAATATTCACTTCCTCCTAAGGATAGTTCACTTCCTTGATCCCAGTTAGCTGCCAACATCTTCCAAGGCAACAAGATTCCCCATCTACATCCATCAAGAAAGGAGGAATGCTTTGACCCTGAATTCTAAGGAAAAGTCCTGAGATTCTCTCTGATTTGATTAGCTTAGGTCATATGGCCACTCCTGCACCATCAATCACTGTGGCCAGAGGGATGAAATATCCTGACATGCTTAAGTCATATGCCACTCATCTGAAGCTGTAGATGGGGCCAGCTTACCTAGAAGTGCTTTGATTCCCAAACAGAAATCACAGGCAGTTGGTGTAGTTAGTTGTCCACAAGAGCGCGTTATTTATTTGAATAGATCAACACCAAATTGCCTTCCAAAAATGCCACATTAATTTACACTACCACCAACCATGTATGAAAGTGGCTGTTTCTCAATATCCCCACCAAATTTTCTATTCTTTATATTTTATTCATATTTACCTAATTTAGTGTTGAAGAGCATCTTTTTGTGACCATCTTTATATTGGCCTCTGGTATTTCTCCTGTAAATTGCCTATTTATGACCTCTATCCATATTTCTGATTTTTAGTGACTTATACAAGCTCTGTATACATCCTACACAATAATCAGTCATCCATTAAATAGGCTACAAAGAGTTTTCTCAGCACATTACTCATCTTTTAACTTTATCATGCTTTTTATTGTGCAAAGATGATTTTTAATTTTTATGGGGTTTTATTTGTCGATCATTTCTTTTATGGCTTCTGGTACTTATGTCTTGTTTAAGAAGGCCTTTTTCACCTCCAATCTTATAAAAATGTGCTCCAATATAATCACCAAATACTTTTAAATTTCTTTTATGTTCAGCTGCTTAACTCACCTGAAGTTTATTTTTGTGGGTGATATAAAGTAATAGTCTACTTTCCCTTTTTTATCTACCCGTAACTAATTTTCCTAACACTATTAATTGCATAGGTTATACTTACCTCCATGGATTTGAAATATCACCTTTATTATAACCTAAATTTCTACTGATGATGCATGGATCTCTCTTGGTCTCTCTATTGCATTGATTTCCACTCCAGTTTACCACACTATTTTGATCACATCTCTAGCATACATTTTAATGTATATAGGACACGCCCAACCCCTAACACTTTAGCACAGCCTATAAGAATCTCTAAAATTTGAGCCTCGTTTCTTTCTCCAGCCTCCTCCCACATCATCTAGTTCTTTGCCTTTGAGAGTTTAGTAAAACCAAGTGTAGATTATTCCAAACAGACACAATTCTGGAACACAGCTTTGTTCCTTTTGTCTCCTCTTCCTAGAATGTCCTGCCCTTTTTCTTTATCTAAGTGACTTTCCTCATCCTTTAAAACTCAGCTCAGTCAAAATTACTTGCTGGAAACCTTTTCTGAACCCCCAGGTAGGCTTCTCTGCCCTGCGCTCCAATTATGCCATCTACTTCTACCAGACAGAGATGACCTCTTCATACATGTGTCTCTCCTGCCACCTTTCCTGTGACAGAGACAATGTTCTGTTCTTCTTTATACTTCCAGCACCTACTACAGTCCCTTGCATACAGGAAATGCTTGAAATATATTTGTTAAATCGAACTGTATTCTTCTCTTCATTTTTTTACCAGTTATATTCTATAAAGATGCATCATCAATTGCATAGATCATTCTCCTTTCCGATTCATCTCTAGCAGATAATAATTTCGGAACAAGTGTCAAGGTTCCTGTCCATCCCTCTCCCATCCCCCATCCCAAAAAGAGGAAGCTCTTTTATGATCGGTTAAGTTCTTTGACACTGATTTGTTGAGTGACCTTGAACAAGTCAATCACTCTATACCTCAGTTTCCTCATATGCAGAAGATTAATAATAGTACTTACCTCACAGAAGTAAAAGACTAATCAAATAAGATTTAAAAGAAAAAAAGTTAAGTCAATCAAGGATTAAAAGAATTAATACAGAAAGCACCGAGAACAGGGCTTAACTCATGGCAAGCTCTTAACAAACGCTGGCTGCTACTCCTCTTCTTCTCAGTAAACCTCTCTCCTCTCTCTCCCCTCTCTCTCCTCTCTCTCTTCTCTCTCCTCTCCTATGCGGTCTAGGCTTATGTTGGTTTCAGGCCTCCGACGCCAGCTCCTTGAAGGCAGAAGGCATTCCCCATGGGATCCAGCCTTGCCTTATCAAGCTGCTGTACCACAAGTTCTACCTGAGGTTTAGAGCCAAAACCACCAGAGGTTAAAAAATGTTCTACCTTATTTAATTCCTCTTTCCTTATATCCTTGTACAACAATTCAGAAACAAGAAGCAAATACAGGGAGGACCCAGGTATTTATGAGTCAAGTGACCCTCTATCAACAAATTCTCTCAGCTGCCATCTTCAACAATCATGCTGAAATCATTGAAAAGGAGAGAAAAAAAAACCTGCATTTAAAAACAACCTGATTTTATTCATTATTACTGGTAATAAGAAATATGACATAAGTCTCTGTAGCTATTCATTGTATTGTATTTTTATCCAATTTAAACTTCCCAATCATGCTTAATCAAGTCCCCTCACTCTACCAGACACTTTGCTTAAATCTGAATATATTCTTTTCTGAATTGCAAATTAATAAAAATTTAGATTAGTTATTCCTAATACTCTATTCCAAAGAAAAATCTGCAATGAGAATAGTACTACCTTAAGATATGTAGTAAGCATCAGCTTAGGTATAGCTTAGAAGCACAAGTGAAAGTGCCCATCAAGGTGTCTGGTACCAAACAGTTCCAAATGGGCCTCATACAGACCCATGTACTGAGAAGGCATTGAGGACACAATGACAGACATGGCTTCTGCAATTTTGGCAGATGACATTACAGATGATGTGACAGGACATTTAAGCAAGTCATTACAATACATTATAATATATACATATGGAATACAGCAACTAGGATAGAACCTGGAATACTCAATACTATTGAATGAGTAGAATGCATTACAGAAAGTATATTAAATACAAGAAATGAAGGAAAGTACTGGGCAAAAAGCAAGTGACTCTGGAAGTAATAAGGAAGGATTAGAAAGAGATATCTGAGTAGTATTTTGAATGAGAAGCAAGAGGATAAGAGGATACAGGAAAAAAAGAGCAAGATGGGGCATGTATATTTCAGTAAAGCAAGCACATCCAAAAAGACAGGGAAGCTTTAAACAGTGTGGTGTGTACAGAGAATGACAAGTTTTTCAATAATGGTGAAGAATAGAGTGCAAGAGGTATGTGACGGAAGTTAAGCTACTGAGACAAGAAAAAGGAGGAAAAGGAGAAGGAGGAAAACAGCCAAGTGCTTTTTGGGTATTTTTCATACATTATCTCATAGAAATTTTGCAAACATCCTATCATATAATAAGTACTATTCCTAATATTCCATTTTACAGATGAAAAACCTGAGGCACAGAAAGGTAAATTAAGTTGTTCAAGGAAAGAGAATTAGTAAATGGCATGCTTGTTTGGCCTCTGAAATGTCCATGTTTAGCAATGTATTTTTAAAGTTTGTTTTTATCTGTCAAGCATTTTTAACATTTTAGGTTTTATTATAATGATGATTTTTCAGATAAGGATTTATGGATGCTATTTAAAGGGTAAATTGCAAAGGTGAGATTGGTTATTTTCTTTCTTATGAAGTATTAATTTTTCCTTCTCAGCTAGGCCTTTCCCATCCATGAGAAACACATCATAATATCTTCCAACTTAAAATAAATTCCATTCACTGCCATAGTGAATACTGTTGGTTTCTCTCCTATATCCTTTTTGTAGCAGGTTCGTGAACATCCCAAGATGTTCCTGTCTTCAGAGAATTGCCCTTGGCCGAATGGAAGCAGCCTGGGCCAATCATTTACACACTCCCAAATGGGGACAGCTCACAACCCATAACTGACTGGCATGGCAGTGCCGAGGTCCAGCCCTTTGCTTCAAGGTAGGAACAACTTTATGGTACAATTCAAACTCCTGTGGGATCGAGCTAAGGCAGACTCCAGCTGAGAACACATCCCTGATTAGCAACATCCCCTCCCCTCTCCTGCTTCCTCTACTCCCTCATCCCAAGGCATTCCTCTATAAATCGCATTCACCCAAATCTCTATCTCAAGCTGCGATTTTAAGAAATTCTACCTAACATTCCTTCTAACTACTACACTATTTCTCTGCTGCAGGAAAACTCCTCATAATAGTCCTCTAAACTTGCTGTCTCAGATTCCTCTACTTTTGTTCTCTCTTGAACCTACTCCAATAAAATGTTCATGCCTACCACTCCACCAAAATAGCTCTTGGTCACAAATGACCTCCACATGCCTAACCCTAAAATACTCATCTTCTTCAGTCTATTAGCTGGGTTGACATAACTGATTATTCCCTCCTTAGGACACTGTCTTCCTTTGCTCCCAGGACACCACACTCTCTTAGTTCCTCCCCACTCCTCATTTATCTCTTTCACCACTTCCTCCTCAGCTCTCTGATCTCTAAATTTTGGAGTTTCCTCAGGGCTTGATCCTTGAACCTCTTCTGCTTCTTCATCTGTACTCACTCCAGGGCCATAACTGACACTCCCAGATTTCTATCTCCAACCCTGGCTTCTCCCCAATCCCAGAATTATATATCCAACTGCCTAGTCAACATATGCATTTGGACTTCTATAGACACCTCAAATTTACCAAGTCTAGCTGGGCGTGGTGGCTCATGCCTGTAATCCCAGAACTTTGGGAGGCCAAGGTGGGAGAATCACGAGGTCAGGAGTTCAAGGCCATTCTGGCAAACATGGCGAAACCCCATCTCTACTAAAAATACAAATAATTAGCTGGGTATAGGGGCAGGTGCCTGTAATCCCAGCTACTTGGGAGGCTGAGGGAGGAGAATTGCTTGAACCCAGGAGGCAGAGGTTGCAGTGAGCTGAGATTGAGCCATTGTACTCCAGCCCAGGTGACAGAGTGAGACTCCGTGTCAAAAAATAAATAAATAAATAAAAGTCTAAAGCCAAATTTACAATTCATGGCCCACACCCTGGCCCAAATATGCTTCCCTTCTACAACCCCACCTTCCCATCTCGGTAAATGTCAGTTCTACCTTTCCAGTTGCTCAAACCACAAACCTTGGAATCATTTTGGTTTTTTCTCTTTCTCTTATACTCTGCACATAGAATCTGCCAAGAAACCCAATTGGCTCTATTTTTCAAAGTAGATCCCAGATTAATCTTTCTACAATGTCTACCGCTATCACCCTAGTTCAGGCCACCATCATTATTCACCTTAATTATTGGAATAGTATCCTAACTTCCCCCTACATTTGTGCCTTACAATCTATTGTCCACAGAGAATCCAGAGTGATTTAAGTTGGATCACCCTATTTCTATGCTTAAATCCCTGCAATAGCGTAGTGTAGTTGCTAAGAGCATAGACCTGACAGCTTTGGGTCAAATCCCAGCTCCCTCACTCCTGTACAGATGCTTCAGTTTTCTCAACTGTAAAATGGGGATAATAAATAGCTAACTCCTAGGTTTGTTATGAGGTTTAAATGAGTTTATATAATGCATATAGCAGGGTGTGGAATTATGTGATTATTTGATAAATGAAATAGTGTGCTGTCTTGCTTAGAATAAACAGGTAAGCCCTCTCTTCTCTTATGCCTCCTTCACTTCACTCCAGCCATCTTGGCTAGCTTGCTTTGGAAATTAGAGCTGAATAATGAGCACACCAAGCCTGCCCCCACCTCTGCTATTGCCCCAAGTACATGCACAATTTATTCTCTCACTTCTATTCCGGTCTCTGATCGAAACCTCCCTCATCAGTAGTTTTCACTGAGCATAAGCAGTATAACAACCTTTGTCCCCAGACACTCCTTCTCCACCTTGCGTTGCTTTATTTTCTTCATATTGCTCATCATTTTCTAACATATTATGAATTTACTTGTCTTTTTTGTTGTTTCACTCATCCACTATAGTGTAAGCTCTTTTTAATGAGAGAGATTTTTTTGTCTGTTCTGCTCACAGCAATATCTCAAGTGCCTAAAATAATACCTGGTACATATTTGGCATTCAATAAAGATTTACTGAATTAATGAATCAGTGAATGAACAGAGGGCAGCAAGGAAGCCTTTTAAATGTTTCACCGAGCTATGATGAGATATGAATTAGGAAAGCAGCAGTAGGAATTGGAGGGATGAAGTGGCCTAGCCAAACAGACATGGTAAGTAGGATCAACTAAATGGGGTATGAGAGAGAAGAAATTTAAGGAAATTATTTTGAGATACTAGTGAAGGTAAAAGGCTTAGGAGATGGTGGTGCCCAAAAGCAGAAAAGAAAATGCAAAAGGAAGAACCAGGTTGAGGATGAATACAACAAACCAAAGTTATAAGAAGTAGGCAGACATCTATGTGGCCTATCTAGCAGGCAGCTGGATATTTGGCTTTATTAACAAAAGAAATCAGAACTATAACTGTGGTTTTAAAAATCACCAAGATACACTGTTATTCAAAGCCATGGGACTGAATGAGGCAGCCCAAGGGAAGAGTATGATCAAGAAAAAAAGGGAAGAAGACAAAGCTTGGGGAGCATCCACACATTATAAGTGTACAGATAAAGGAAAAACTGGTGAAAGAGACTGGTAGGAAGGAAAGAAAATAAGAATGTCTTTTAGAAGTACTGAAATGTATGTCAAGCAACAGTAACTGCTGAAATGATATAAATTATATCGACTAAAAACTTTTTCAATGTTGTCAAAAATCACTAAAATAGAAGTGGGAGAATATAGGAATTTCGTAACTCCTGAAAAACTGGAGCAAATGGAGCATTTGTGCCTGCCAGTGTGGAAATAGCGAGATCTTCTGAGCTTTTTCCTTATCTTCCAGATGAATTCAGCCTCTAATGCATTCTTAAGACTCACAAGACTTCTGTACATTTGGCACAGCCAGTTATATTTTCATTATCTCATTATCCTTTGCCTTGGCTTTCAAGACTCACTTATCTAACAATGTTCTAACTGGTTTTACAAGGTCTCATTTCATTAACTCTTCTTTGTTACAAAAATGTAATTATTTTGTGGTCATTACTTCCCCTCAGTCTATGGCACAAACCCTTTGTTTTCTGTGTACAGTTGCTCCTCGGCTTGGGATGGTAAATTATGTCCAAACAAACCCATCATATATTAGAAATATCATAAGTGGAAACGCATTTAATACACCTAACCTACTGAACATCATAGCTTACTTAGCCTCACCTACCTTAAATGTGCTGAGAACACATCAGCCTGCAGTTGGGCAAAATGATCTCGCAACAGGACACTGCATAGTATCGGTTGTTTACTGTCCTGATCAGTGGCTAACTGGAGCTGCTGCAGCCCAGCATTAGGAAAGGGTATTGTATTGCGTATCTCTAGCTCAGGAAAATATCAAAATTCAAAACTGGAAGTACAGTTTCTACTGAATGCATATTGTTTTCACTCATTCTGAAAAGTTGAAAAATCATGAGTCCAACCATCATAAGTCAGGGACCATCTATATTATTAGCAACATCTTCAGAATTGAACACCTCTTTCTGCCTTCTCCACCTTTTGGCATAAGAAATTATCCTCTCCCCCTAAGAAGGTCTCTAACAATAAGTAATTCATGATGTCTAAGTACCCACATATTTTGTACCAAACAGGCTACCTTCAGCAGTAATGGAAATGGTAATTATTTACTCTGGGAGCCCTGTCAAGGTTTCTGTAAAAATCATTGCTATGCTGCTAAATTGGACTAGGAGTTGCCTCCTTTTCTACTATTGATCTTATGAGTGAATTATCCCCAAAAAACTTTCCAGTGTGCTATTGGCTAATTCATTGACAGTGCAATATATATTAGGTTGAATGTGAATAGCACACATCTTATTCGTAATATGTTTTGGATGCACAAATTTGAAATTTATGTCAATGTTCCTAAGCAACGTAATACAGATGAAAAAATACAATTCCCAATGTAACATTCAGTGTTCGTAAATATGCCATCTTGGAAATTACAGCAAGCAATGTAGAAAGTAAGAAAATCAATTGACTCTGGACACCAATACTATTTCTCAGGGCAAAAGTCTATCTCATGTGGCAATAAATGCACCTCTGTCCTTATAAGGAATGTTGTACTATGATGAAATAGTGACTACACTATTTATATCATTTATGTTTTAATCCCCTGGTTGCTAGGTGGGGATAAGTCTTCATAGATGCTAATCCACATGTTGTCACACTGGGGTGGGGGTTGTTAAGGTAGTGACGGTATAATCATGGGAGTAGTAAAGTGTCTGGAGGCCTGAACAGAATGGGGACGTATTCCTGCTAATGTTGTAATCTCAATTCATAGAAGATGAGGTCAAGTTAACTTTTGAATTTGACTTTTTAAAATTACGTATACACATATTATATAGATACATACATACGTGATTCTTTGGCTGTGAAATTGTGGCCTTAGTCATTCATTCCAAATATATTTATTGGGCACTTCCATATGCTAGCGACCATGACAAACTCTGGGAAAGTGTCAGTGAATAAGACTGCGGTAGTCTCTGAGGTCACAGCTTACAGTCTAGGTCAGCCAAGTAAGTGGACAGACAGAACAGGTAGCTACTGTTTTGTCTACATGATAAATGTGAATGGGAGAATTAAAGCAGGACATTTGTAAATCTGTTTATTTATTCATTTATTTATTTAGTGTGTATTTATTTAAGCACTGATGGTGCAAAAGAAGTAAAATATACAGTCCTTGTCCCACGATTTCCAGTGTAGTAGAGGAGAGAAATATTCATTCAATGGACTGAGAAAAAACTCCAAAGGGCAGCATAGGTACAGTGTCTGGAGACACAGTTGAGAGATGTGGAATAACAATGACCTAATTTCTTACTACTCTCTCTTTCTTAATCTGTTCAGGCTGCTATAACAAAATACCTTAGACTGGGTAATTGATCAAAAATAGAAATTTATGTCTCACAGTTCTGATGGCTGGGAAGTCCAAGATCAAGGCACCAGCAGATTTCATCTCTGGTGAGGGCCTATTCCTCATAGATGATGACTTCTGTGTAGGACACAATAAAAGGCAAAAAAGGCTACAAGCTCCCTCTGGCCTTTTTTATAAGGGCCCTAATCCCACTCATGAGTGCAGAGCCTTCCTGCCCTAATCACCTCTCAAATGCCCCACCACCCCCCAAATGCCCCACCTCTTAATATTATTCCTTTGAAGATCGAATTTCCACATATGAATTTCAAGAGGATGTGCACATTCAGACTACAGCACTCTCCCTCACTCCAGATGCCCCACCTCACTCTTCCTGTCTCAGGGCATCTGCATCACCTATTTCCTCTACATGAATTCTTTTCCCCAACTTCCCCGCTTATGGCAAGGCTGTGCTCAAATGCCTTCCCAGTGAGGCCTACCTTGACCACACTGTACAACACTGCACCACACTGGCCTCTGGCATTTCTGATTCATCATACCCTGCTCGTCTTCCCCCTTTTCCCACAGCACTTATCACCTTTCAATGCACTCGATAATTTACTTACATATTATGTTTTCTGTTTATTGTTTGTGTCCCCTGTTAAGATTTAAGCTACATAAAGGCAGAATTCACCCACACCAATGTTCTCCAGTACATAAAATGTATTTTTCTCTCTGTCTGCTTTTCAGATTTTTTTCTGTGTTTTTCATTTTTCTGCAATTTGACTATTATGTGTCTAGGTGAGGGGATTTTTTTTAATCCTCTTTGGGGTTTGTTGACCTTTCTTGACAGGTGGGCTGAGTTTTTTACCAAATTTGGAAAATTGGGTGGTCCATACTTTAAAAATGTTTTTGTAACCAATTCTCTCTTTCCTCTCTTTTTAATATTCCAATTACATATATGATAGATTGTTTGATAATTTCCTCAAGGTTATTAAAGTTCTGGGATTTTTTTTCAATTTTTTTCTCTGTGTGCTTTAGTTGGAATAATTTCTATTAACCTGTCTCCAGATTCATCCTGTCTTCTGTTGTGTTCAACCTGCTGTTAATCCCATGCAGTGATTTTTTTCAGTGATTATATTTGTTAGTCCTAGGATTTTAATTTGGTTCTTTTTTAGAGTTTCCAGATCACTCCTAAAACTTCCTACCACTTTTTCCATTGTAGATTTAATGAAAATGCTAAACCTCTAGCAAGACTCATGAAAGAGAGAGAAAAAAACTGCAAATTACCAATATCGGGAATAAAAGCAGAGATTTTGCTACATCATCCTACAGACACTAAAAAGATATTATAAGTAATAGTATGTTAGTAAATTGGACAAATTAAATGAAATGTACAAATTCTTTGAGAAACACAACTTCCTAAAAGAAATACAAAATATGAATAGCCTAATATTTAAAATAAATTGAAGTTGTCATTTAAAATCTTCTCACAAAGAAAACTCAAGGTCCATATGGCTCACTGGTGAACTCTGACAAACATTTCATAATACCGAGTTAAACTAACTCTTTCAGAAAATCAAAAAGGAATAAACATTCCTAATTTATTTTATGAGTTCAGCATAATTCTGGTGTCAAAAGTAACAAAGGCATTACAAGAAAACTTATACACCTCGATTATAAATACAAAATTCCTCAACAATATTGTTGCAAACCAAATCCAGCAATATATTTAAAATTGAATATGGCATGACCAATGAAGTTAATTCTAATAATGCAAGGTTAAATTCATCAATGAATTCAATTTACTACCTTACTATAATTTAAATATTATGTGATCATCTCACTAGATATAAAAAAACTGACAAAAATCAATACCCATTCATATTTAAGAGTGACAAATGAATGTTTTCCCTTTAAAACAGAAAACATCAAAGATGTCTGCTCTCACCACTTCTATCCTAGATTAAGAGATCCTAGATTGTGAAATAAAACAAGAAAATGAAACAAAAAGCATTAAGATTGCAAAGAAAGAAAGCTATGTGTATTGCCAGACAGCTTAATTGCATGTATTGAAAGTCCTAAGGAATCTATGTACCTCTAACAAGTGAATTTAGCAAGGTTGCAAGACACAATATCAATATATGAAAAATCAGTTGCATTTTTTTCTTTAAGAGCACCAAATAATTTAAAAATTAAAATTTAGGAAATATAGTAGCATCAAAAAAACATAAAAATACTTAAGACATAAGTTTAATTTTAGAATGGTACAATAATTGTACATTGAAAACTATAAAACGCTAAAGATTTTCTTAAATCTAAGCAAGTATAGAGATATATTCTGGGGGCTAGAAGACACATTGTAAAGATGTCATTTCTAAGCAAATTAATCTATATCTTCAATGCAATCCCAATCAAAATTCCAGCAGGCATTTTTATAGAAATTAATAATCTTATTCTAAAATTTATATGGAAATGCACAAGATAGGATAGTCAAAATGATCTTGAAAAGAAGAACTTACGCTACCTGATTTCAAGACTTATTATAAAGCTATAATAATAAAGAGAACATGATACTTGCATGGTGATAGACAAATAGATCAATGGAACAAAAGAGAGACTCCAGAAATCGGCCCACACATCTGTACTTAGTTGACTTTTAACAAAGGTCCCGAGGTAACTTATTTTAAAAAGAATAGTCTTTTTAACCAGTGTTGCCGAAACAACTGGATGGATAGATAGATAGATAGATAGATAGATAGATAGATAGATAGATAGATACAAAAATGAACATCAATTCTTACCTTCTTCCATACACATAAATTCAAAATTGATCATAAATATAAACATAATACTATAAATCTTCTAGAAGAAAACACAGGAGAAAATCGTTACAACCTTGGGATAAAGATTTCTAAGACAGCAAAAAAACAGAAAAAATGGTAAATTTGACTTTATCAAAATTAAAACCTTTTGTTTTTTGAAAGACACTACTAAAAAACTGAAAAGGTAAGCCACAGGCTTGCAATACAAATATCTGACCAAGAGTGAATCCTGAATATGTAAAAGAACTCCTATAAATTAATAATAAAAGGACAAAAAACCTAACAAAAAATATGGGCAAAGGAGTTGAACAGACATTTCACAAAAGAACATATATAAGCAAATGAAAAGGTACTCAATATAGTCATTTAGGGAAATGCAAATAAAACCACAATGAAACATCATTTCACACTTACTCAAATGCTTAAAACTATAAAAACTGACAGTAAGTGTTGACAAGGATGTGCAGATACTAAAACCCTCATACTCTGCTGGTTGGAGTATAAAATGGTACAACCATTGGAAAACGTGAACAGTTTCTTATAAAGTTAAATTTATGCTTACTGTGTGATCCAGAAATTCCATTCCTATATAATCCACATCCAAGAGAAATGAAAGCATATGTTCACAAAAGGATGAATTTTCATACAGCTTTATTTGC
Source organism: Homo sapiens (assembly GCF_000001405.40). Taxonomy (NCBI): domain Eukaryota; kingdom Metazoa; phylum Chordata; class Mammalia; order Primates; family Hominidae; genus Homo; species Homo sapiens. Next base: position 41,898,029 of record NC_000012.12, read on the forward strand.
AGTAATCCCAAACTGGAAATGATCCAAATATCCATCAACAGATGAACAAAGAAAGTGTAGTAGATTCATAACAATGGAATACTATCCAGTAATAAAAAAGAACAAACTTACTATAGAGCTATAATAATCAAAATGGTGTGGTACTGGCATGAAAACAGATATATTGATCCATAAAACAAAATAGAGAGCCTAGAGATAAATTCATACATTTACAGTGAACTCATTTTTGACCAAGGTGTCAAGAACATACACTGGGGAAAAGGCAGTTTATTCAATAAATGGTGCTGGGAAAACTATATATCCATATTCAAAAGAATAAAACTAGACGTTTATCTCTCACCATATATAAAAATCAAATTAAAATGGATTAAAGAATTAAATCTAAGATCTCAACCTATGAAACTACTACAAGAAAATATTGGGGAAACTCTCCAGGACATTGGAATGGGCAAAGATTCCTTGAGTAATACCTCATATGCACAGGCAGCCAAAGCAAAAATGGACAAATGGGATCACATCAAGTTAAAAAGCTTCTGTACAGCAAAGGAAACAATCAACAAAGTGAAGAGACGACTCACAGAATGGGGAAAATATCTGCAAACTACCCATCTGACAACGGATTCATAACCAGAATACATAATGAGCTCAAACAACTCATAGGAAAAAAATCTAATAATCTGATGAATAAATGAACAAAAGACCTGAATAGATGTTTCTCAAAAGAAGACATACAAATGACAAACGGGGATATGGAAAGGTGCTCAACATCATTGATCATCAGAGAAATGCAAATAAAAGCCATAATAATATATCATTTCATCCCAGCTTAAATAGATTTTATCTAAAAGTCATGCTATAATAAATGTTGGTGAGGATGTGGAGAAAAGGGAACCCTTGTACACTGTTGGTGGGAACATAAATTAGTACAACCACTATGGAGAACAGTTTGGAGGTTCCTCAAAAACCTAAAAATACAGTTACTATATGATCCAGCAATCCCACTCCTAGGCATATACCCCAAAGAAAGGAAATCTGTATCAGAGAGATATCTGCACCTCCATGTTTATTGCAACACTATTCACAATAGCCAAGCAACCTAAGTGTTCATCAACAGATGAGTGGATAAAGAAAATGTGGATAAATAAAATGAGTGGATAAAGAAATCTACATGTACACAATGGAGTTCTATTCGGCCATTAAAAGGAATAAGATCGTGTCATTCACAACAACATGGATGGAACTGGAGGGCATTATGTTAAGTGAAATAAGCCAGGCACAGAAAGACAAGCTTTGCATGTTCTCACTTATTTGTAGGAGCTAAAAGTTAAAATAATTGAACTCATGAAGATAGAGAGCAGAAGGATAGTTACCAGAGACTAGGAAGGAAAGTGGGTAATGGGGGGATGGTTAATGGGTACAAAAAAATTAGAAAGAATTAATAAGACCTAGTATTTGCTAACACAACAGATTGACTATAGTCAAAAATAATTTAATTGTACATTTTTAAATAATTAAAAGAGCATAATTGTGTTCTTTGTAACACAAAGGATAAATGCTTGAGGTGACAGATACCCTATTTACCCTGATGTGATTATTATGCACTACATGCCTGTACCTAAGTATCTTATATAATCCGTAAACATATACACCTACTATGTACCCACAAAAATTAAGAAATAAAATTTTTTTAAAGAACAAACTACTGACCCACACAACAACATGGATGAACCATGTTGAACCATGACTCAGCAATCCACTCCTAGGTATAGACCAACAATATACACCTTGGTGTTTAAATGTGCACCAAAATACCATATAGGAATGTTCAGAGCAACATTCTCAATAGCCAAAACCCAGAAATGACCCAAATGAGCTCCAACAACAGAATGAATAAACAGTGGTATATTCATTTAATAAAAATGTATTAAATCTAGAAAAAAAACCCATTTACAATAGCTACCAAAAAAATAAAATACTTAGGAATAAATTTAATCAAGGAGGTAAAAGACTTGCACAGTGAAAACTATAAAACATTTATGAAAAAATTGAAGACACCTATCAATGGAAAGATAGCTGTGTTCATGAATTGAAAGAATATTGTTACAATGTTCATCCTACCCAAAGTGATCTACAGATTTAATACAATCTTTATCAAAATTGCAATGTCATTTTTCATAAAAATATAAAAATCCTAAAATTCACATGGAACTACAAAATACTACAAATAGCCAAGGCAATCATGGGCAAAAAGAAGAAATCTGGAGGCATCATACTACCTGATGTCAAATTATACTTTGAAGCTATAGTAATGAAAACAGCATGATACTGGCATAAAAACAGGTACATCAACCAATGTATGGGAATAGAGAGCCCAGAAATGAACCCATGCACATATGGCCAATTGATTTTCAACAAAAATGCCACACACAATGGGAAAGGGATAGTCTCTTCAATAAATGGCATTGGAAAAACTGGATATATCCACATGCAAAAGAATGAAATTGGACCTTTATCTCACACCGTATACAAAAATAAATTCAAAATGGATTAAAGGTTTAAACATAAGACCTCAAACTAAAACTACTAGATGAAAACACAGGGGTAACCTACACTTTGACATTAGTCTGGACAACAATTTTTTGGGATTTGACCACAATAGCACAGGCAACAAAACTAAAAATAGACAAATAGGATTACATTGAACCAAAAGGCTTCTGCAAAGCAAAGTAAACAATTAACTCTGACAAGACAACCTACAGATTGGGAGAAGATATTTGCAAGCCATACATCTGTTAAGGGGTTAACATCCAAAATATATAAGGAAGACTCAATAGCAAAAACACAAATCATCCAGTTTAAAAACTGAACAAGAGATCTGAATAGACATTTCTCAAAGGAAGACATACAAATGTCTAGCAGATATATTTAAGAAAGCTCAACACCACTAATCATCTGAAAAATGCAAATCAAAACCACAATGCGATATCCCCTCACAACTATCAGAATGGCTACTATAAAGAAAAAAAGACAAAAGGTAACAAGTTGGTGAGGATGTGGAAAAAAGGGAACCCCTGTACACTGTCGGTAGGAGTGTAAATTAGTATAACCATTATGGAAAACAGGATGGAGGTTCCTCAAAAAACTAAAAACAGAGCTATCATATGATCCAGCAACCCTACCTCTGGGTATTTACCCAAAAGAAAGGAAATCAGCTTGTCAAAGAGATATGCACTCCCATGTTCATTGCAGCAATATGCACAATAGTCAAGCTATGGAATCAGCCTAAGTGTCCATCAACAGATGAAGTGATAAGGAAAAATGTGATATAGATACACAATGGAACATTATTCAGACTTTAAAAAGAAGGAAATTTTGAACCTGGCATGGTGGCTTGTGCCTATAATCCCAGCGACTAGGGAGGCTAAAGCTGGAGGATTACTTGAGGCCAGGAGTTACACTAGCCTGGATGACAGAGCAAACACTGGTCTCTTAATAATAAAAAAGGAGGAGGAGGAGGAAGCAATTCTGGCATTTGCAATAACATGGATGGAATTAAAGAACATTATATTCTAGGTGAAATAAGCTAAGCACAGAAAGACAAATACCACGTGTTCTCACTTACAGAGGCTGGAGGTGGGGAGAATGGGAAAATGATGGTCAAAGGATACAAAGTCTCAGACAGGAAAACTAAGTGTTGGTTTTTTTGAGATTTATTGCACAGCATGGTGAATATAGTTAATAATAAAGTATTGTGCATTTCAAAATCACTGAGGGCAAATTTCAAATGTTCTCACCACAAAAATAAATAAGTATTTGAGGTGACAAATGTTAAAATTACCTTAATGTGATTATTCCATTTTGTATTCATACATCGTAACCACTCTGTATTCCATAAATACATACTGTTATAAATTGCCAATTTACAACACCTTTTAAAAAAATTTTAATGAAGTATAAACTGTTAGATGTAAAAATATGAATGAACCTCACAACACAGGGTTGATAGAAGCCTCTGGATGAATCTATTCATATAAAGTTCATGAACAAGCAAAACTAATATGTGGCAATTGAAGTTCAACTAGTGATTCTAACTAGGAAAAGGTATAAGGGAGGATTCTGGGGTGCTGTGGATGTCTTCTACATTGATCTGGGTAGTGATTCCATTATGGTGGGTTTTTTTAAGTCATAAGCTATACACTTAAGATTTTTGCACTTTATAGTATGCACGACGTATCTCAACAACAAAAGTAAAATGCAAAAAAAAATCATATTTTTACATTACTGTTTTAGTCCTACATAAACCATTCCAGGGAATATTAGAAGAGCACAGGGGCCCCCATTCTGTAGAGACTTCGGGTGCAGTTAAAGAGCTAAAGCTACCATACACGCGTTAGATAAAAATTAATACAAAGTGTGTTTTAGGATTGCCTTAGTAAATTACCACAAACTCGGTAGCTTAAAATAACAGAGATTTCTTCCACAGTTGTGTAGGCTAGAAGTTCAAAATAAAGGTCTTAACAGGTCTGCACTCCTCTCAAAGGCTCTAGGAGAAGATCCTTCCTTGCCTCCTCCAGGGTGGCTCCTGGCATTCCTGGGCTTGTAGCAGCATCACTCCAATTCCTGCCTCTGTCTTCACATGGCCTTCTTCCCTGTATGTCTCTGTGTCTTCTCCTCTTATTTCCTCTTCTCATCAGGACACCAGTCGTTGGATTTAGGGCTCACCCTGGTGCCAAATGACCTCATCTAAACTAGTTACATCTGCCAAGACCCTATTTACAATAAAATCACATTCTAAAGTTCTGGGTAGACATGAATCTTGAGGGGGATGCTACTCAACCTCCTACACAAAGCAATTTTAAATCTAAATTAAGTAGGGCCTGGCACAGTGGCTCATGCCTATAATCCCAACATTTCGGGAGGCCAAGGCGGGCAGATCACCTGAGGTCAGGAGTTCGAGACCAGCCTGGCCAATATGGTGAAACTCAATCTCTACTAAAAATACAGAAATTACCCGGGCGTAGTGGCGCATGCCTGTAATCCCAGCTACTCGGGAGGCTGAGGCAAGAGAATCACTTGAAACTGGGAGGCAGAGGTGGCAGTGAGCCGAGATTGCACCACTGCATTCCAGCCTGGCAGCCTGGGCAACAGAGCAAGACTCCATAATAAATAAATAAATAAATAAATAAATAAATAAATAAATAAATAAATTTAAATTAAGTGCTAAATTGTTTCACCATAGAAATTCAGAGAAAGATGTGATCATTGCAATCTAAAAAAGTTAGAAACAATGTCATGAGAAGTTAGCCCTTGAATCCTGCTATGGAAACAGCAGATTCAGGTGAGCTGCAGCACAGTGCAGTCTGGCAGTGGAAGGAAAGCAGTACAGAGGCGGGTCTGAGTGACAGGGAGTCCTGGCTGAGGAGGGGAAGAAAATAAGATTGAATAAATAGAGTGAGCCAAGTTATGAGAGTCCTTGAAAGCCTGGCAGATGAATTTAGACTTGGTCCAATAGGAAATAGGAAACAGGAAATGACTGTAAATTCTTGAGCAGGGAAGTGACATGGTGACAGCAGTGTTTCAGGAAGATTATGTTGGTGACAGTTGGCTGGATGTATTGGAGGCAAAAGGGACTGAAGGCTGATGTATTTTGTCTTCCCTTTGCTGGATGTATATAGGGTAGCAAGAGATACGTAGTTTGATTTTAAAAAAGAAAATGCACCACTGCAATGATGCTCCTAAATCTTAATAAACTTCCTGATCTCATTCTCAAATGGAAAAGTAGACCAAGTGGCATTGTGTTTGAAAAGCTAATTGCTCCTCAGTTTGAAATTCTTGTTTGGAGAAGAGGCAAGAGCTTCCCATTGTTTCAGCATCAGAGTCACCTGAGAGCCTGTTAGAAACACAGACCCTCAGGCCCCATCCTAGACCTATGTAATCAGAATCTACATTTTTACCAAGATCCCCAGAAGATTCATGTGCCTTACACTTCATATTATAGTGAGAGGTGCATCGCCATGGTAAATTTCTGTTGAACCTCTGTAGTTTGTGAAAAAATGTGGATATATAACTGTTGAAACTGTTAACTTGAAAAAACAATTATGAACCTTGTGCCTCCTGTGACGAGGCTGTCACATCGAGACATTCACCAGTCCCAGAGCTGTGGTGCCTGCTCACCCACTTACCCGTCTCATGGGGAACAACTGTTAACAGATGAAATGGAGACATCTGGTTGTCTCGTGAAATGTGTCACTTAGAACATGCAGCTGAAATTGAGACATCTGTCTCCCCACCATTCTATGGACTCTTGCTCTAAAGTGACACTTTTTTGTCATTTGAAATACACCTTCATACTGCAGTGGCTTCATTTCCTTGCTATGCAAGTATGAGAGAGGAGGACATCAGATTGGTGCAGATAATGAAAAGTAGAAAATTCACCTGTCCAGAGCCGTGGCAGGACCACCTGCCTTGGGAACATGGTTCCAACCCTGCTGAGCAACTTTCTCCTCTGGCATTCCACTCCCCAATTGCAAGTGTCAGTGGTTACCCCAGCACATCAACAGAGTGAAAAATATTTGGTAACTATGCCCTCTGTGTCATAGGTTGCTAGAAAAGACTGAGTTTGTAAGGCCATACATTGGAGCAAAGCTTTGCAAACTTTAACATGCATCCATATTACCTGAGGAATCTTGTGAAAACACAGATTCTGAATCAGTATGTCCAAAGTGAGGGCTGAGATCCTGCATTCCCAACAGGCTTGCAGGTGATGCTGATGCTGGTGCCTGAGGACCACACTCTAAGTAACAAGGCCAGTTGCTTGGCAAGGTTACATCAAGCAAGCAGAGAAGGTGATAGCAGAGTGAAATCATGGTAGAAATATCTCTGCAGATGAGAAGTAATAAGGTCAAAGATAAGAGGTACATGACCAGACTGGGAAAGAAGAATAGAAAAGGTAGTTAAAAAGAAAGCTGATTTAAAAAAAAAAAAAAAAAAGAATTAAAGATGAAAACATAAAACGAGTTTTATAAATATTAGAGCTGGGCTAGTCTAGTAACCTTGAATTTGGTTAACAATACTTCTACCAGAGACATCCGCAGCTAGCTATGCTTGATGGGGATTTTCAAGTCCCTAGGCCAGCAGGATGATAGGAAAAAAATATTCACGCTGGCAGACAAGATCTTTCTCACTGATCCTGGACATCTGGTCACTAAATCTTTCAGAAGGACAGATTAGAGATGGAGAATTGAAAACCCCTCCAGCAGAGGCACCAATAGTGATTTTTAAATGAGTATGGAAGCCAGCCAATCTCTTGCCACAGGATCTGCAAAACTACATTACATATTCAGTGTTACAGTAAAAACAAAAGAAAAAAATTTACCAGACCGTATTTTTTCAAGACCCTGAAGGGGTTACAAGGACAGTAAAAAGAGTAAAATGAGGACAATTATTCACCCAAAATGCATCATGACTCAACCAGGTCAAGCAACCTTTAGTAAGGTACGTTCCGTATGACAAGGAAATCTGTGCCACAAGCTTAACATTGAAAACAAGTCCTGCATATCTTGATGATGTTGCTCATGGGATAATGACTTTCCAAACTGAACATTTCACAATCAGCCGACTTTATACTTAGTTCATGTGTATACCTCCATCAGGAACCGAGGGCAGGCCTAAACTCCATTCACAATCTGTCTTTCTGTAATAATATTGAAAAAATTTTTTTAAAAAGGTTGGGGGGAAGAGAAGACAACATAAAAATCAAAGAAAGATCAGTCAACCCAGAGAAATCTCCCAATGCCATCATCCCGCCACCTAATGCTGTCGCAAACAGGGGAAGCAGGTGATGGAATTTAATTAGCAACACAATACAAGCTGTCGGTAAAACCCTATTTTCCAATGGGAATGAGCTCTAGTTAAATTGAATGCTGAAATGAAGTTACATACTTTCTTGCATATTCTAATTTTGCCTTCTCTGATTCAACTCTTAGGCTGAATACAGGCCTTGGCCTATTTTCTCCTAAGGAGCACAGTACAACATGATCCTGGGTCTGTCTTCCTGATCCTGCTCCTGTGCCACCCAATGGTGGGGACTCAGTGCCTGAGTCCGCTGAGAGGGAGGCCTGCTCCCCTCCACCTCACTCCTACTCATCACCTCTGATGCAGGACCTTTATGGTGGAGATAAACAAGAATTAAGATGAGCGATAAACTATATTCTCTCTCTCCCTCCGACTTTGTACCCCAGGAGAGGCAGCATGTGAGACACCAGGGCATTCTGACCACCCAATCTCAAGGCATACCCATAACTCAGTTCTTGATTCAGATATAAAACTGATCAGGAGGCATGGCCTCAAAATCCAAAAAAAAATATATATATATAGTGGATTCTATCATGGCAAGTAGGGAGCACCAAGAAGTGAAGCTGAGGTAGAAGGGCGTGGAGAGTAAGCGTGAGCCCTTCTATCTGGCTTGAGGGTCTCGGTTCTGCTGCTGAGCAGCTTTGACGAAAGCGCACAGTACACTACTTCTCAGAGCTTCTGTTTTCTCATCTGAGAATAGAGATAATAATGCAGATATCACAAGCGTTTGAGGATCAGGTGAATGCATTTGAAAGCGGCTGACACTTGGCCACTTGCTCTACAACATTTTTAAAAGGAGTCTGGTGCAGGAAACAAAACTGGACAGGTGTTTACAATTAAGTGGACAAGTGTTCACTTGCCATTCTGTTTAAAAAGCCATCTTCATCTTGAGATTTTCTCCTTTAACAGACAAAAAAGTCCATAACTTTTCTCTGATGTTCCATATGCCTTTGAGACTATTCTTAATTATTTAGGCCCTTATAGCTAAAGCCATTATAATTTTTCTTAGACCTTTTAACATTTTCTGTTTGAGAATTTTATCAACCTTAGGATTTCTATGAACATATTTGATGGAGTAAATTAATGATTCTTGTCAGAGGTTAGGTGTCCTCTTATCTAGTACATGAATTAAACTCTACTTGTAAAATGATGAGATTTTCTTTCTTATCATTCTTCAAAAACCGAACAATTATTCCTTCTTTCCCTGCCATACTCTCACAGATGGTGAATCCCAGTTCCTCCACCTCCTCCCAAGCACCGAGACAGCCCTGAACAGATTGCGAAGCCTGCTTTGGGGAAGGAAACCAGCAAGTCCCAGCCTTGTGGCTTAAGCAGGGATTCAGGCACTCCTGCAGGAAGCCGTGATTGCCAGCAAACCACCAGGCACGCTGCTGGTGGCTCTGCGACAGAAGCGACACAGCACACCTCCAGCGTCCAACACGTGGCATTCCCTCAGGCCGGCCTGCTTGCCCCCACACTCCTCATCCTCCTTCCCCATCTGGTTGCTCTTCACAACAGCTCTGCTGACTTCATGCTCAATGTCTTGGGCCTTCCTGCTGTGGGCCATGGGACCTTATTTAGAGCCATTTCTTCCCACCAAGGAGTTAATAATATGTGATTTCCACAATACAACCATCTGGACATCTGACACCAGTCACCAAGTAATTAGTGGGAAATGTTGCAACATATCCAGGGATATTTAATAAATATTTCTTGAATGAATTAAGGAGGCTCAGCAACTCCACATTTGCTCACACCAGAAAAGTATAACAGAGAAGCTTCTTGTACTTCTCTGGGCCCCTCCTAAGTACCTTTAAAGGGCCCCATTCCTCTGACCACACTATAAGAGTTATATATAGTAACCCTAGTGTCCTGTCCTCAGGGGACTAATCTCAGTCTCCCCACTCTTCTTCAGCAACCTCATCCCTTATCTCTGCTCAAAGCACCACTTGTATTCTAATAATTGCCAATATTTATTTCTAGCTCACAGCACTTCCCCCAGCAGACTTGAAAATCAAACTTTCTAATGGTCATTCCCAACAGATATCCACAGACACCTCAAACTTAACATATCCAACACTGAATCTTTTTTATTTATTTATTTATTTATTTTTAGAGTCAGGTTCTCATTCTGTCACCCAGGCTGGAGTGCAGTGGTGCAATCATAGCTCACTTCAGCCCTGAACTCCTGGGCTCAAGTGATCCTCCTGCTTCAGCCTCCCCAATAGCTGGGGTTACAGGCATGCACCAACACACCCAGCTAATTTTTCTTAATGTTTAAAGACAGGGTCTCACTGTGTTGCCCAGGCTGATGAATTCATTATTTGATCCCTGATGTGTTCTTCCACCTTAATGTTCTATCTCAGTTGGTGGCCTCACCATCCACCCTGAAAATCCTAGAAATAGTCCTCAACTTCTCTAACTCCTGCCTCCACTCCCATGCAATCAGTTTCCAAGTTCTGCTAGTTTTACTTCCTAAGTCTTATTTGACTCTGTCCTTCCTCTTCCCTTCCAGTTTCCCCAGTTCCGCCTCCGGTCCTCATCCTCTCTAGTCGGAGTGTTGCATTACCCCTAACTAGTCTCCCTGGCTTCTTCCTTCAAGCCCCATAGAGAAGTAAGAGTGAGTTACATAAACACAGACCTGATTCTATCATTCCTTTGTTTGAAAATCTTCAAATAGCTCCTCTTCAATTAACTGTAAAGCTCACGGCAGGGGTTTATGGTTATACACAACATAACTTCCTGGTTACACACAACATAACTCCCTGAACTATCAGTTGTTCTCAAAGACTCGGATGGGCAAACTTCATTTTTATAAAAAAACAAACACCATTGTATAATAGAATACAATGCAAAATTTGAACTAAGTTTAATTATAACATTTGGAAACTGAAAGTCCAGTGCCTTAATGACCCATACCTATGACAGCATAACCTCAACCCCTCCCTCTTCCCCCCTCCTTCCCCCAATAAGTCCTATTTGTTAGTTCTTGTCATTCCCAAGGGATGTCTCCCATGTATTCCATAGAAGCCAGGAGTTTCACACACGTTATTTTCTATGGTAGTCCCAGAGTCTGGAATAAGATCTAGCACACAGTAGGCACTCAATAAATACCTATTGAGTATATAAATGAACCCACAACCAATCTGCCAGCTGACATCACCATGAGGCTAGATGTGCTTTCTCTTTGGCTCTCTGATATGGTTTGGGTTTCGTCCCCTCCAAATCTCATGTTGAATTGTCATCCCCAGTGTTGGAGGTGAGGCCTGGCAGGAAGTGTTTGGGTCATGGGAGGGGATCCCTCATGAACCTCTTGGCGCTGTCCTTGCAGTAATGAGTGAGTTCTTGCTCTGAGTTCACACTGGTTGTTAAAAAGAGTATGGCACCACCCCCCACCACCCCACCCCGCGTCTTGCTCCCTCTCTCACCATGTGAGATGCCTGCTCTCGCTCCACCTTCCACCATGAGTGAAAACTCCCTGAGGCTTCATGAGAAGCTAAGCAGATGCTGGGCGCCATGCTTCCTGTGCAGCCTGCAGAACCATGAGTCAATTAAACTTCTTTTCTTTATAAATTACCCAGTCTCAGGTATTTCTTCATAGCAATGCAAAAACAGACTAACACTTGCTGTTTCCCACTTTTCCACCTCTGCAGCCTGCTCAGCCACTCAGAGAAACATCCTAGCTGTGACCCACCATCGAGGTTACACCATTGTCCATGCCAAAGGACATGATAGAATAAAGCTGGATCCATGCAGATGCAGAAAAATGGTCACCTAAGCTCTGAAACAGTTCTGTTTGTGCCTAGAGTCCCAAACACCCTTGGGGTTTCACCAGTTCCTAGTTACCTCTCTTTATAGGCAGCTCAGAGTCAATCCACAGGATCCTGTAGACCCCATACCAAATGTCCTCTCTCCACAACCTGTTATAAAGTAATGACAGCCACACATAACAATGGCAACAAACATCCTGAAGGAAGCTGTAAACCAAACGTGCCTACTATGAGTACAAAACTGAAAAGAAATTCCATGATTGGGCAAGCCCTTCTGCAATTTGGAGAGTTTCTCTGGAAAACTACTCGGCCTCCAGACCTCAGCTTAAGTGTTTCCTCTTTAAGGAAGCGTCTGACCCTTTACATCCCCATCCAAAACTACCCACTCCCTCAAGAACTAGTGCCTGCTTCTGCTACCACAGGGTGCAGCCTCGGGTTTGTGGGGCCTGAACCTAGTACAATTTTCAAGACCCTCTTTAAGCAAAAGAATATAAAACTACAAATATAAAAGTAGAATGCCAAGATAATATTATTTATGAAGGGAAAAATTAATACAAATTTTCAAAATCTGAAAAATATACTACCTATCCAAAATATAGAAAAAAATACACATCGTATTTCATTAATTAATGGCCTGATTTCTCTAGAATACCTTTCCTACCTGTTTTCCCACTTGTCAGTTGCATACTCTTTATCATCTCTTCAACAATAATTTTGTAATATTACTTTCCATAGAGAGAGGAGAAATAGAACTCGGTCTTTCGTATGCTACAATTGATCAGAATTTTTCTTATTATTGATAGTTGGGCTTTGTAAAACATGTTACTTTATACACAGACAAAATCTCTGTATTGTTACAAACACAGAATTTCTGATAAATTCTACTTCACATGATTCTTATCAAAAAAACATACAGTTGTTATTACATATGAAAGATCTTCCATCGAAACTGAAGATAAATGAGAATCAAAGCCTTTGCTTACAGTTTTACACATTGAACGATGGGAAGAATTTTCCAAGGATGAGCTTCTGGCTCCATATATGTCCAATCTTGTTTTGTCTCCACCCACTTTCTTTTTGTGCTAGGAATGTGGAATATATTCATGTCAGGTTATAAACTCGCCCTGCACTGTCATGTCCCAATGTCAGGTGAGTTGGCACAATGAGCAATGCAAGAATTCCTAGAAGACGTTTCTACCCCAAGATGATTAACAATAGCTTCAATATATATGGAAGCAACCGAAAAACACATAAACATATCCCACTAAGTCCAAACAAAATGCATCCTCAACTCCATTCCCCTTATTGAAATCCCAAAAATGCCCACTGCTAGTTTAACATTATTTAACACAAGCAGAAGTGAGATACATGGGAAGTCAGAGTAGAGAGAAAGCACGCTTTTACTTGAGTGTGATTAAAACAGCTAACATTTGCATATTTTACAAAAACATATGACCATGTGAACAACTTGCCAGGGCCTTGGAACAGGCCCAGGGAGTGAGAGTTCTGAAGCTTAAGCTTCATTAACTTCACAGAAAAATCCATTTCTAATCACTGCACTTACCAGATTGCATATTAATTAATTAATGATGATAGCTGGGAAATGATGGCTAATGAAAAGGAAGAAGTCAGGCAGATCTCACAGAAACTGCAGGAACTGGTGGATCAGCTCTATTCATTTCAAGACTGCAATTTCAAGACACATAGTGTTGAGGATGCTGGGGGGAAGCAATAGGATGTGCAGGAGGAGACACAGAAGCCCCCGGAGGAGATGTTGAAGACCCTGTGGCAGATGGAGGAAGTCGTGGGTTTAATCCAGGGCAAAGTACAGTGAAGATGCTGACTGGGAAGGCACTGAACATTACTCCTGACTGTGTCTCTAAGGCTGAGGAGTTTCTATCAAAGGCTATGAAGCTGGAGCCTGAGCTGGTGGAAGCCTGAAACCAGCTGGGTGAGGGGTACTGGAGGAAAGGGGGTATTGCAGCTGCAAGAATAATGTCTCCCTGCAAAACCTATTGCCAGTGCTTCACCAGCTGTGGACTAACATTGGAGATGAACATTTTTATCATGTCACGGACAGTGACCAATAGGCTAAATTGGCTGTGAAGATGAACTTGCACCATGGCCGCTCCTAGCATATTCTGGAGAATACATACTTTTCTCTTCACTTCAATATCAGTGAGAACCCTAAGATCTTCCAGCAAGCCTTCTGCCTAGGCCCAAGCAGAGAAGGTTGACAGGACAGCTTCCAGCAGTCCTGACCTTCATCGAAACACAGTGATGTTGCAGAAACATGAACAAGCAATGAGAAGATCCTGGGGACTTTTCTTGAGCTGCAACACTGGACCCTGCCTGGCCAGAGCCCTGGCAACAAGAGCAACTCCTGGAATTCCTGGAGAGAGGAGCCAGCCTCCTTGATAGCAAGGGAAGCATGAAGAACAAAAAGCTACAGAGCTAGGAAACTTGTGCTCAGCCCATCTAGGCCCTTGTGGTGATGGGCACTGCCCAGTCAGCCTCTGGACAGAAGGTGACCCCAGAGCTCAAGCCACTGAGCATGCTACATTGTGTCTTAGTCCATTCAGGTTGCTATAACAAAATACCTTAGACTGGGTGGCTTATAAACAACAGGAATGTATTTCTCACAGTTTTGGAGACTGGGAAAGCTAAGACCAAGACACCACCAGATTTGGTGACTAGTAAGGGCCCTTTCCTCACAGACAGTGTCTTCATGCTGCACCCTTACTTGGTGGAAGAAGTAAACAAGCTCCCTTGGGTCTCTGTTATAAGAGTACTAATCCCATTTATGAGGATTCCACTGTCATCTTCTAATCAGTTCCCAAGGCTCCACCTCTTAATATTATCACTTCAAGGGTTAAGACTTCAACATATGAATTTGGTGCAGGACACGAGCATTCAGACTACAGCATACATTTTCAGTATATGTACTTATTCAGCAGGAATTTAGTGAGTTCCTACTATATACCAGGTGTTGTGTGTTAGTGCCTAGGGATTCCACTATGAGTTAAATCCGGCATAATCCCCAGTCACGTGGAATATAGAGCCATAGGGAGGACACATACATTGATTAAATTATCACACTAATAGCAGGATGATTACAAACTGATATCAGTGCTGAAAAGGAGAGAATCCAGCTCCATAATGAAGGCTCTTGGCCTATTAGTTGGTTAAAGATAGCTGCTATACAAAACAAGACACATGCATCTAAGGTTTGAAGGATGAAAAAGAATGAACTAGTTGAAGATGACCAGCCTTCAAAAACAGCATCCAAACAGAGAAACAGCATGTACAAAACTGCTCTGGTAAGAATGAGCTGGAAATTATCTGTTGCTTTTCCTAATCCACTCTCTACCCTTCTTTACCCTGCCTTGCACCCCAAAAGGTTAACCTCTAGCTATCAACCATATACTTGGCCCTCTGGCTTCTTCTTACTTTTAGTCAATTGTTTAGGGTATTTATTTTCCTGATGGGCCTTGGGTTGGCTATAGCTGTGATCTTCTTTCTAAGACATAGTTCCAGTTGGGTAGTCACTCAAAAAGCTTTATCCTATAGCTACAGCTAGCGGCATCTGAGGGATCTGTAATTATTCCTGCGTCTTGTATCTACAGGGACCTACGTTCTTTGTAACTAAGCTTTCAGATGCTTCATCATCTCCTATTGACTTTCCTTAACCCTTCCCATATCCTTGTAAATAGTCCCTCATAAACTCTCCTGAGTTACACTGTTTGAATGCACCAGCTAGTTCTTGCCAGAAATGTGATATATGATTATCCCTCAGTATTGTGGAAGATTGGTTCCAGGACTCCTCAAGGATACCAAAATCCAAGGATGCTCAAGTCTCTAATGTAAAATAGTGTGGTATTTGCAAATAACCTATGCACAATCTCCTATATACTTTAAATCATCTCTAGATTACTTATAATACATAATACAACGTAAATAGTTGTAATACCATATTGTTTAGGAAATAACGACAAGAAAAAAAAAGTCTACATATTTAGTACAGACGCTTTTTTTGCTCAATTATTTTCAGTCTGCCATTGGTTGAATCTAGCAGCATGGAACCCACAGATACAAAGGGTGGACTGCAATACATGTGAGAAACCGAAAGAAGATGGTTATGTGAAATGAAAAGTGCAGTGCAAGATGTGGCTGGAAATCTCCCTAGGAACCAGACTGTCTAGAGCCTTCTAAGTCATTTTGAGAATTTGGATGTTTATCCTAAGAGCAATGCACTAACATTGAAGAGTTTAAAGCAGAAGGGACATAAGAGGGTTTGCTGTTTTGACCAAAGCTAGACTGGAGTGGGTTGAGAAGTAAGTGGGAAGTGAGAAAATGGAGATAGCAAGGATTGTTATCATTCACAAGAAGTTTGGTTTTGAAAGAAGGAAAGCTTTAAGACAGAAATTGGATAAGGAATATATGACCAATTGAGAGTTTTATTAAAAGATAAAGGAGAATGAGAATGGGAATGTAGGAAGGAATGTAAACTCCAGGTAGCAGAATGCAGTACGATGTGCATGAAATAAATAAAGAGAGGGTTAGAGTTAGAAGGCAGGAAAAGGCACAGACGATGGCACTGGCCATAAATAGACAGAGAAGCCCCTGTTCCGGTGTAACAAAAGAGAAGAGGATGGATGCAAATAGAAGCCTTCGCATTTGCATAATTGTTGGGCAGCAGGAAATTGATGGTGGGGCTTTCCATCAGTTCACTTCAACTTTCTTTGTAAGATAGAAGGAAAAGTTATTCATGCCAAGCATCAGAGAAAAAGTTGGGATGAGGTGGGGGAGAGTTCAGAGATAGCAGTGAAGACGGTTTGAAATATTTGCTGTTAGGAATGGAAGTGCAACTCAGATCAGAAGGTTGTAGTAGGAGTGTCATGCAGCTTTGAGAACACCCTTGAGTTTCAATATTGACATGAATGTTCCCCTTCCCCACTCTATTTTATGCCTGCTAAGCCCATGAGATTTAAGTGGATCTAGCCTGGACTGTGATGCTACACTTAGACATAGGACAAAGACTTGAGTTATTGGTCCAGGGATGATATGGTTTGGCTGTGTCCCCACCCAAATCTCATCTTGAATTGTAGTTTCCATAATCCCCATGTGTCATGGGAGGGACCTGGTGGGAAGTGATTGAATCATGGGGTTGGTTACCTCCAGGCTGTTCTTGTGATAGTGAGCTCTCACAAAATCTGATGGTTTCATAAGGGGCTCCCCACCACCCCCACCTTAGCTCTCCACTTCTCCTTCTTGCTGCCATGTAAAGAAGGACATATTTGTTTCCCCTTCCACCATGATTGTAAGTAAGTTTCCTGAGGCCTCCCCAGCCATGCTGGACTGTGAGCCAATTAACCCTCTTTCCTTTATAAATTACCCAGCCTTAGATAAGTCTTTATTAGCAGCATAAGAACGAACTAATACAGGGGATAAGCACGTGACCCAAGCTGGGCCATTCCAAGTCAGGCCTGAAAATTTCATTACCATTATCACAAAGGATGTTCTTTCCCTCTCACTGGTATTAAAAGTATAAAGAAGCCAAGCGTGGTGGCTCACACCTGTAATCCCAGCACTTTGGGAGGCCGAGATGGGTGGATCACCTGAGGTCAGGAGTTCAAGACCAGCCTGGCCAATATGATGAAAACCCATCTCTCCCAAAAACACACACACACAAAAAATAGCAGGGCATGGTGGCAGGCACCTGTTATCCCAGCTACTTGGGAGGCTGAGGCAGGAGAATCACTTGAACCTGGGAGGTGGAGGTTGCAGCGAGCTGAGATCACGCCACTGCACTCCAGCCTAGGCAACAGGAGTAAAACTCCGTCTCAAAAAAAAGTATAAAGATAATGTAAGGTTAGTTAAGGCTGCTCAATGTCATCTTGTCATCAAGCTGGAGAGAAAAACAGAGCCCTGATGATACTGTTTGAATGTCTAGACCCAGCCATGTCTGAAGCTTGACCACTCTTTTAACTTTCTACTTACATAAGCCAATAAATTTCTATTTTGGCTTAAGCTAGCTTAAGTTGGGTTTCTGTCTAATTTACACATCAAAAATTACATCGTAATCATAAATTTATACTCCTACCAATATTTTATCTCACTTTCTCCAGAAATGCTTCATTGCTTGAATATAGGCATGGACAAATGTAGGTGACTACTAGGGTTTATCTAGGAGGAGGGTTTTGCCAGGAAAGTGAACAAGAAAAAGGCACAAGAAAGTGAGTGTAAGCCTCATGGCCAAATTTCTTTCCTTTAATCTATATGCCAGATCACATGTGCCTGAGCTTAGGATTACAACTAGAGGACACATATATTTGAGGTTAAGTTCCCATTGAGAAAAATTGAATCTGGTCACCCCTCCCACTCTCTCTACCCTCAACTCCCCTACCACTGGCCACAGCAAGGAGATTCCTGGCAATATTACATTTCCTGCAGATAAGACTGCTTCTGGAGTGACATGCTACTGATATTAAAGAAAGAAGAATCAAACAGGGAACCAAAAGAAGTGGTCGAGAATTTTAAAATGTAAAAATAAGTCTAAAAATAACTTTAAAAGAACTCAGCCTGTTGTGTCTCTAGATACACCAGAAGTAACAGTCAGCAATTGTTGAAATCAAGACAAAGTGTGAAGGTTAGTCTTTCCAACTGCATACTCTTTACATTTTCCTATCAGGAACAGAGCACAGAAAAATGCCATAGGCCCGTGAATCATCTACACTTACGCCTGGCAGGAAACTTCTAATAATTTATACATTCCATCTGGTTGCAACTTAAAAGACTAATTACCAGTGGTACCAACTAATACTAATGATTAATGGGTGAGGTTCTTAAAAATGAGGCCAATAGGAGCCCCAAACTCAGCATGACTACAAACAGACAAAAAGTTTTACTTTGATATAAGCAGATGGTATTTAGAGCTTTCAGTCTGGTACAGGTGAAAGTCAGTCCCCTTGTTGAGTAAATTATTTAAGCTTCATTCCAAAATCAATAATTTAATTTAAAATGTCACTTGTGTCTTTGTATTATCACCTCTACCTTCTGAATAACTAAGAACATAAAGATGTTTTTGAAAGAAGAAAAGGCCGTCTGGCCCACCCTACTTACCATTTATGGTTAATTATTATTAATATTAATAATTTTACATAAAAGCACACAAACCTTGAGGCTTCTAAGTCCTTCAGTAGACATGATAGATCAGGTAAGTCTTGCAAAGCCACAAAGCTGAGGAAGTAATTAGCTAGTAAATCGCACTGAAAAAAAGTATTTAATCAAAATAAAAGTTGAGCTTCTGTACAGTATGTAATGACCTTTTCCTGAAAGACTATATATTTCCTCATCCCATTTTCATACCAGATTCAATTCCCATTGCCCTTTGAAGTCAAAGTCACCTTTGTACACAGAAGATACAGGTGAAAACTTGGAAGGAGATGAAGAACAAAGTTCTAGTTTTATCCTAGATAGCTTTATAAAGCATCAAGCAACCTTAAAAAACATATATATGGTCACTTTAAAATACAAATAACTTGTCTCAGAAAATGCCTTTTTCAAAATTAGGCTTTGTCTTTATAATGCCAGTTTTAATTTACTTTTTAAATATTGTAAATAGAAGATGTTTTATTCCATCTTATATTGAAGATCAGAAAATTACTGTGACTTCACTGAAACTATACTATTAGTAACCAGAGTTTATAACATCTTAGTTCATTATTGAAACCAGGTATTGAAACCAGGTTCAGTATTGCATCAGGTATTCTCAAACTTTTTTGTCCCATACATACTTCTTGTTAATTCACAGTATCCATGCTTTTATAGCTTGCATTCCACTAAAAAAAAAAAAAAAAAAAAAAAAAAAAATCAAAAATTCTAGGATATCACATTTATTATGTCCTTAATTATTATTAAAACAATATAGAGCATAGAATGAGAGCTAGACAATTTCTTTATGCAAAAAAATGGAAATAATCTTAGGAGGTAATATATGGAAAGCTCATAGCACAGTTACATGACACAGAGTGTTTCATAAATAGAATTGTCACAAGTATAGTTTTATTTTGTCCCCATTTCTTTGGTTCACTTTTCCCTCTTTCCTTTCCCCACGTTGGGCTATTGGTTTTATTCTCACATACTGCACATCTCCCAGCATCCCAGAGAATTATCCCGTGATAATTATTATCTGCTTTTCCTCTTTTCTCTTAATAAGTTCCAACATAGTCTTTTTTTTAAACTGAAATCTTACTAATTACTGTCAAGCCACTTCTGTTTGCAAATAATCTCCTGAGGTCTTTTGCAACTATATTCTCCAAGCATTTGCACTGCATCATCACCACAGTCCATCTGTCTTTTTGCTGTGCCCCACGTGAAGCCCAGCAGCTTCTCCCCACCTGTCTAATGCACAACGCTTTCTAACTGTCTTCTCAACTTGTTCTTCTCTTAACTCAATAATCCACACACTTGAAGTTGGGGGAAACTCATTGCACATAAGTAGATTTTATATTCTTCCAACAGCAGCGCTTCCCCAGCCCATAACCTCTGGCCTGTACTATTTTTGTGCTATTTAAAATAGGAAACAAAGAGAGGCGGGATCGCTGACTCAACAGGAGGCTGCATCTAAGCCCAGCTCTGATTACAAGTGTCAAGTTCTTTCTGAAATATTTCTGAGGAGTGAGAGAACACGCAGATTTACAGAGTACATACTTCACTGGTTTTTATTTTGGTGGTACGTGTAGATGAGAAAAGATTAAAAGCCCAAACAAATGTCTAAATCATTGTGCACACTCCTATAGTACATTTCCCAGCCATAGGCACTATAGACAGCACTCTGCAAGGGAAAATCGTCCCCTACCTTGTTCCTCCCAGGAAATGCAAGGGGAAAACATCCCAAAGAATTAGGAGGGAATTTCCAAATTGTCAAAATATCATCATTCTCATGAAATATATTATGAGAAAAAAAATGATTCAATTTTCAAAATAAATTATCTTTGAAGTTTTTAGTACCAAAACCTAATTCAAGGGTTTGGGTATGGTGCAATTCAAGGTGTGATTTATATTTAAGATTTAAGGGCTAAGGATACTATTTCTCCCAGAAATACAAGGCTAGAGGAAGACTAATACAGTGATTAGAAAACAACAGTTTCATATCTCATGGTGCTGAATTCAACTCCCAGCTTGAACACTCTAACCAAGTAAAATCAGACAAGTTACTTAACCTCTCAAGCATCTAAGCATTATGTATGATACTTAAACTCTCAAGTTTCTCTAAGCACTATCTGTATAATGGGGGCACTAGTGCCTTGCTCTTAGATTTAAGTAGAGCAATGTAGGTAGCATGATTTGCAACCATTAAACTAGTTGGTGGCAATTATTATACAAAATTTACTTTAAAAAACTGTGGTCTTAAATAAAAAGAAATGGATACCCACAATTCAAGTTCCTATTTTACTGAGGATAATATTTGGAGCAGAGGAGCCTTCCCTAGCTTTTCAAATGACACTAAACAGAAAGCAACTTTTTTTCCCACCTGAAACCTAGTCTTCCTTCTATATCTCAATCAGTCCCACTCACTCCTGGCATCCAACTCCTCACCACTTTCTTTCCTTTCAAACTGATAATGTTCCTGCCTTTGAGACTGGTTTTTATTTCAGTGTTAAAACATCAGAGTCCACTGCTTATGCAGCCAACTTTCATATACCAAAATATTCAATACTCAGTATGCAAAGGAAAGATGTTGATTTCAAAGGCCTTTGGGGGCGGTATAATAATAAGGGTCAGATTACATGTGTGATCAATTTTGGCCTTTTGCATGTCAATTAACGTATTGCACTTGGATGTTTTATTGATGGCAAATCCTATAGAGAGATGTTATTATGCTCATATTTTAATGTCTTAGGGGTCAGCATCTCACACACAGATATCCACTGGCATACATTCAAATGCAGAATTGCTAGCTTTATCATTTTAAATGATTTAAGCCAATGAAAGGACACTCCATTTGTTTGCTCAATAGTCAATTGAAATGGAAACGGTTTGCTGAGTGCATCTCCCTTGAAAGTCTCTTCCCCTCTAGTGCCAATTACAGAATATGAAAGGCATACTCCGCACAGCTTGCTCAGGATAATAAATCACTAAATTGGAAGCTTCGCTTCCCTTGCTGATTTTGATAAGAAAATTAATAGAATTAGCAGCTTATCTGCTCAACCAGGAGATTCACATTATGAAAAAGAAGAGAAGGGGGAAAAAAAAAGAAAAGAAAAAAGAATGAAAAAGAAAAGAAACGGAATCTGTTTCTATGGCCAGGACTGCCTGTATCTCTTCTTCCTGGTGACAGGGAGACAGTTCAGATAGTTTCTTTTGGCGCCCATATGGTGATAAAGCTCTGTTGGAAACAAAGCGAGAAGCACTATCCATTATTGTCTACTTGTTCTGTTTTCATGCATAATTAAAGCTGGACAAAGCCAACATTGGATCAGACGTTAAATAAGGCTGCATTAGGCAAAGTCCAGCAGCAGTCCAACCACTAAGAAACGAAAATTCTAAACAAATCAAAATTGGTGAAATTGAGATTATTTTTCAAAAGAGGATTTACTGTCTTGCGTTTTCTTAGGGAAGGGGCTGTTGCAGCGCTTTTTTTCTTTTTGTCCAGGAGAGGATAATTATTCGCAATAAAGCTGCTGCTCTCGAAACAGAATGGAAAGACAAGAGTCATTTGTTAAAGAAGACCCTTAGTAGCCTCCTGCCTGCTCCTTTTTTCTTTAAATATATATGAAAATCTGTAATTATTTCTTTGAAGAACATTTTTCAACAGCTGTAAATGATAATGAGCCAATCACTGTGTGCTCTTTTTTCACTCAGCAGCTGCAGAGCTCCCCATTCAACGCAATTAATTGATATTTGTAAAGTGCTTTGAAACTGAGAAGTGGAGCCTCATAAGTGCTAAATATTGTTCTTACTGCTGCTGCATTAGAAATTAACAAAGCCAGCCCCTCTTCAGACAGGCCTCAGAAGAACAGCAGTAATTCCAAGTGTCTAAAAACAATAACCTACAACTCCAAGGCACCCAAAAAAAGATTCAGATTAGTAGACCTTGTTAAGAAACATCAGAGGTTAATCGCTAGAAGATTACTGAAAATTATATGTCAAGTGTCGAGCAGAACAAAACTGTAACTCTGCTACATGCATCATTTTCACATGTTTACTCCAACATGTCGGTTTGTAGCATACTTTTTTTCAAAATGCACTTCTCAAGCAATGTATGTTGGAGAAAATAGTGCTTGTTTGTACAAGTCTAAGTTGAGACTTTCACAGATCCTAAGACAACTTAGAAAATGTTTGGCATTTATATTACTGTCTTTGGCTGAAAAATTCCTCTACCAAACCAAAAGACACTATAGATGATCTCAAACATTTCTTATTTTCTGGCAATATATAGATATTGAAAAATGTTTGAGCACCAGATGTTGGTATGATTTCCAGCAGACTTCACTGTTTTCATTCAATATTTTAGCTTTTTAAAATTTTAACTGATATACCTTACACCTCTGCTGTCTACGTCACTGACAGCATTAGTGATAAGAGGGGTTGGTACATTAATAATATACATTTCAAAGCACAAAGTAAAAGAGAGTCTCTATAGAGATATCTCACAGAGATAGCTGCATTTGAAATACTATTTCTTGGGGCAATAACTCTAGAGATAAAGTCATAAACCTGCTGGCATCCATTGCTGTTAAGAAGAGCTATGGGTAGCAAAATTCTGCCCCAATGATAGACCAAGTACATGGATACGTTTTCCTTTCCCTGATTCTAAAAAGCAGCAGCTTGCTTGAAAATCCTATGTTGCTAAACAATTAATTGTTGACCATTCAATACCATTTCTTTATTAAGAAACAGAGATAATTATAGATGGTTAGCACCACCTAGCAATGCTTACACACACATTTTGAAACCAAAGATAGGTATCTGTAAGTCAAACAACAGAACTAGTAAGCATGCATACATAATAACTCTACAGGGAAGAAAAATTACAGAACACTACGTGATAGACATATCTAAGGCAATCCACTCGTTTTTATGCTACTAAAACAAAAATTGTAACCCATGTAAAGTTTGTTTTTTAAAGGTTGCAGCCAGGCTTGATACTTTTAATTATAAAGTGATAACTTTTTCAGAATACATGGCTTCAGTAAAGACTTTGAACACTAGAAAATCTAAAGTTATTTTTAAATCTTCCCTATTGTTAATCTAAATGTTTAAGCAGAACTACAAAGTTTTGTAAACTTAAAGCAAGAATCTGTGGGCTCCTTTTCCCTATCTTTCTGGCTGTCCTGAGGTTGTCAAACAAAACCAAACCTAATTTCTCTCTAATCAGGCAGGACTGGCTAAAAAAGGCCAGTGAATGACCCTTCTGAAATATGTGCAGATTAAGATTAAAAGGAGAAGGAAATAATATTAAGGCTCCTCTCCTACAAAATTAAGAAACCTAACGTAGCTCCCCAGAACAAGAGCTCTGCACCTATTTGCTTTTAGAATATTTATGACCTTTCTTTTAACATATCTTACGCTAATCTCTCTCCTGCAAAAAGGTGGTTTTATTTAAAATGCTGAACAATCTTGACAGTTCTCTCTTCTACAGTGATGGGACAGAAAAGAGATTTAGCTCGCCAACTTTTCTTTCAACTGGAAATGGGTTTTAATTTAAAATGATGGAAATCAGATCACATAATCATGCAGCCAAAAAAAAGAATTTGAGAGAAAGAATAGGAAAGATTTTGTTGCAAACTTTTTAAAATCACTTTACAATTATAATCTGATTGAATCCTTACAATTCTGCAAGAGAGGCATCATTGCCCTCATTTTAAAATAAGAAATCTTACTTCTCTGCAAAGTTGACAGAAAAAAAAATTTTTTAAATAAAAAAAATGAGAAATCTGAGGTTCATGTAGATTAAGAATTTTGCACAAGAGATGGCACTGAAATTTAAACTTAGAACTGTGTAACTCCAAGGTGCGCACACTCACCCATGCCATATAGTCTCCAAGCCTGCTACAAATCAAACAATTTTTTTAGTTAGTTGCCATAGCAAATCACCTGCAGAATAAGAGACATCGCTGTACTGTTGTAGTTAAGAGACTGTCCATAAGTCCACAACTTACCAGTGGTGGCCTTAGTGAAATTTCTTATTTTCTCTGTAAACTGGAATAAAAATATACCTCAGTTGTCAATTTCGAGAATTAAATAAAATAATCCACGTAAAGCCCTTGACAAAGAACCTAGCATCTAATGAGAGTTCAATAAGTGTGTTCTGTTAATCTCATTTATAACTATATTAATGTGGCTAACACAGGGCAGCCTTTCTATCCTGATTTCCTTAATAAAGAAACAATATTGAATTTATTTTTAACTACTAGAGAAACTGTAAATAGCTGGGTGGCATCACCCAGGTGTCTGACTAATCACTTGAAACCTTTTCCCAAATAACAGCAAACGATTTCAACCTCAAGAACAGTTTTCATCCATATCTGGGTTAGCACACCTTTCAAGCCTTAGCACATTTGTTCTGCACTAATAATAAAATTAGATTATGCCTACTTCATATAAGCAGTAAGAAGCTAATCCCTCATAAAGCACAGTCTAATATGTTTTTTTAACCATGAATCAACTAAGCTGCTGACCAAATAGATCTCGCAATGCCTAGTAAGTACTATTTCTTACCTCATAATTTACTTTCTGACTTTGTTCATTTCACATAGATGAACTCAAATCACACCTGAAGCTTGCTGAACCTGTGCTGATAAATTTCAGTTGACCTATAATTTGTGATACCAAAAAGTCAATACAAAAGAACTAGATTCTTCCTTCATAACTTCAAATACTTGCCAGGTTCATTAAAAACAAACAAACAAACACATGTTCTGGAAATGCGACAATGCATTCAGACCTAGCTCTTGTTTGCATTGCTGTATCTGCAGTGAAAGATATAAGGATAATTTAGTGAGGCATACACATTGCCTCCATATCTCTTTAAAATAGAACTAAATAACAGCAAATATGAATAATCCTGTTAAGTCCTCAGGACGCTTCCAAGAGTTTAATTCTGCATTGTGCCTCTCAGCCCAGAATCTCTTTAACCACACAAATGATAATGACTATCTTCAATGCTTTTCCACTGTCAAGCGATGTTGTGTTTTAGTACAGGACTGATTGACTCTAACAGTACTGCTCTTAAACATAGATAAATAGGTTTTCACCTACAACTTTGAGTGTCACTATGATGGGTTGAACTGTGTCTCTCCCCCTCCGCCGCTCCCCCAAAAAATTCATGTTGCAGTCCCTTAGAATGTGACTATTTTGGAAACCGTGTCTTTACAAATGTCATCAGGTTAAAATGAGGTCATTAAAGTGGGCCCGAATCCTATATGACTGATTTCCTTATAAAAATGGGAAATGTGAACACACACAGAGGGAAGAGAGTGCGAAGACACACAGGGAGAAGACAGCCCTATGACTAGAGTGATGCATCTACCAGTCAAAAAACACCAAGGATTCCCAGCAAACACCAGAAGCTACAAGAGCCAAGGAAAGATTATCCCTGAGACAGCATGGCCCTGCAGACACCTCGGTCTTGGACTTCTGGCATCCAGACTGTGAGTCAACACATTCCTGTTGTTTGAAACCATGCAGTCTTTGGGACTTTGTTGTGGCAGCCTTGGGAAACTAACAGAGCCACCATCACAGCCCATTTCTTCAGTGCCTGTTTCTCCTGGGAAAATTAAACATTATTCTAGGGGTGGAACACTAATTCCAACCCACATGAAAATTCTGATGAAATTTTAAGGAATCCTGGAGTGTTGTTTTGGAACGAGTTCTCAGGTCAAGTCCAAGATCAGCAGAAAAGTACACCATGACCACTTACTTTAGGTGCAGGAGGAGGCCCATTGTTATAACGCCACACATTTGCTATGACTACATTAAACCTTCTTCAGTCATCACTGCCCTAGTATAAATTATTTTCTCAGAGGATTTCCAACATAGACCCTATGAGAGTAGAATTTTGTAGAAATGATTTAAAAATAGATTCAGAGAAACAGACATTGCTCTAAGAGAACTGGTCTGGGGAAGAGCCCTGTGTAGCCTGGGATTACTTGAAGACCCTGGAACCCCAGAGATCTAGAAAGCTGTTCAGAAGAAAGGAGAAAGGACAATCTCTGTCACCTACACCACAGTTTTTTCCAGAGAGCTCTGCTGCTTATCTCTATCAGGATATACGTTTGGTGATTAAAACACCAAAACCATCAGATTCCTATTCAACTATAATGACCCATCCTTATAGACTACAAGACAATGTTTTTGTCACACAGTAGTTCCATATTAATTATTGCATATCATGGTAAGTAAAATAGTAGGGGCAAGAAAATAGAAGGCCCATGTTTAAAAGGAAATGATTATATAATAAAGTTGTATTGCAGGTCAAAAGAAGAGGATAGTCAATTACTAGGGCTGAGCCATTTTGCTAACCACCTGGAAAATGTTAAGTCAGATCCTTACTTTCACACCACAAAGGAAAACAAATCTGGATGAATTAAAAGTCTAAATATTAAAAATAAGAATACGGGCAGTATTTCTGTAATCTCAGTGTGGGAAAACCTTCCCAAGCAAGACTCAGAGGCCTAAAGAAAATGACTGATTCAGCCAATAACAAAATTAAACATTTCTAAGATTTAAAAATACTATTAAAAATGTTAAAAGACAAATAGCAAACTGGAAAAAATGGTAAACACATTTATATATCCAAGTGAACACTGACTATAAAAACTGTTGTAAAACATAATAATGTCTTCTACAGTTTCAAATATATGAAGCATTAATTCATGACAACAATAGAAGACAAGTTGATAAAACTAAAGTTAAAGTGACCTAAACTTCTTGTATTATCTGAGAAAAGAGTAAGAGCAACAATTAGCATTAGACTCTTATAATCTAAGCTTGTATGTTGTAATATGTAATAAAAGACTAATAAAACAATATGTAGCTTCCAAACTAGAGGGAGAATATGAACCTAAAGAAAGACAAAAAAAGAGAAAAAAAGAGGGACAAAAAAGAGGTAGGGCAAATAGAAAGCACACACTAAAATGTTCAAACTAAAGTGTTTTTTAACCCAAGTACATGAATAATTACAATAAATGTCTATGAATAAGTTCTACAATTAAAGATGAATATTTTCAAATTTGAATTTTAAAAAAAGTATAAGCAATATATATCTGAACTGCAAGAATACAGAAAGAGCGAAAGGAGGTGAAATAAATACAATGCAAAAACTAATCCAAAGAAAGTTGATGTTAGCTTATTAAAGAAAAAATAGAAATAAATGGTATACTTTATTCTAAAAGAATCAACTCACCAGAAAGACAAACAGTTCCCTATTTGTATGCATGTAACATTACCTCAAAAATTTTAAAGCAAAACTTGACAAAACTACAAGGAGAAATATAAATCTACACTCACAGTAGTGATTTTGAAACACCACACGAAATCAAGAAAGATGAAATAAATGTGAAGACTGTAATTTGCCCAAATGCACATTTATTGAAAACTGCACCCAACAACTGTGAAACAAATAATCCTTTGAAAAACACAAATCATCTGCAAAACTTGTCTATATGCTGAGCGGTAAAGCAAGTCTAAAAAAATTTCAAAGCACTGATATCATACTGAGTTTGTTCTCTGATTACAGTGCAATTAAGCTTGAAATCAATAAAAAAAACAGAAAATTACCTAATATATGGAAATTAAGTAATAAACATCTAAATAACTCATAAGTAAAAGGGAAAAAATCACAATGAAGTTAGAGTAGATTTTTAGCTGAATGATAACAAAAAAAAATACCATTTGCCAAAATTTGTGGGATGCAACTAAAGCTGAGTTCAGAGGGAATATAATCTTAAACACATATTTAGAAAAGAAGAAAAACTAAAAATCAAGTAAGCTTCCATCTCAACAAGCCTAAAAGCAGAAAATAAAACCAAGATAACAGAAGGAAAGGAATCATAAATATAAGAGCAGAAATTAATGAAGTAGAAAAGAAATAACCAGTAGAGAAGATCCACAAAGCAAAAAGTTGGTACTAAAAGAACTAATATAATAAGATTGAGCAAAAACCAGTGAGACTGATTAATTTTAAAAAATATACAAATAACAAATATCAGAATAGAAAGAGAGTCATCACTACAAATGTTACCTAGGTATAAAAAAGATAACAAAAGGAAATTATGCACTACTTTATGCCAATAAGTTAGAAAATTTATATAAAATGTACAAATCTTAGAAAAACAACTTATCTATTGTAACTGAAACAAGAAGGATAGAAAGCAAAGCAATCTTATATTTTAAAAATGGAATCTGCATTTTAAACCTTCCCCTTGCTCTCCCAAAAAAGCAAAAATGCCTGACCAAACAGCAAATTCTCCTAAATATTTAGGAAAGAAATAATGCCAATTTTAAACAAACTCCTTCAGAAAATTTTTTAAAAAACAGAACAATTATGTAGCTAGCTTTTCCTTACTACAAAAAACTGACAAGGAAGGACATTATGTGAAAAGAAAATGACAGGCCAATTTAACACATATGTTAAAACCTTTAGCAAACTATTAGCTAACCAAATCAGCAACTTTTTATAAAGAAAAATACACCCCATAGACCAGTTGAATTTATCCCAGGAATATAAGGTTGGTTTACTATTCCAAAAAATCAGTGTAATTCACCATGTTAATAAAGGAGAAATATCATTTCATTATCTCAATAGCTGCATTAAAAGCATTTGATTATAGTCAACATCCATTTACAACTTAACACACACACAGACACATACACATCTTTGCAAACTCGAAATAGAAGGGAATGCTCCTAATCTTAAACCTACTTATCAAAAACAACAATATCCACCATATCAAATGGTAAAATGTTGAAAGCAGTCCCTTTAAGATGCAAATGAGACAAATATACCTATTACAGATATTTTTATTAAACATTATACAGGAGGTGCTAACCACTGCAGTGGAGCCAGGAGATAAAAGACCTACCTATTGCAAAGAAAGAAATAAGCTTTTATTTTATACAATCAATATGACTGCATATGTAGAAAATCTAAAAGAATAAGGAGACAAATATAACAATAAAAAGACAAAGTATATGAAAAAGGAGCTTGCAAAAAAGTTGACATCAGACAAAGAAGAGTAGTCTCTGAGAGATAAAAATCAAATATGATACATCTATCATTGCCTGAATTTAGTCTGTAGACCACAGAACAGGGAGGTGAAAGCCAGGCAGAGCCCAGAGGACTGCTCTAGTTGAGGAAATGGAGCTTAGAGCCCAGGGAGAACAGGACAAACAGGGTTTACAGGGTCAGAAAAGAAAGAGTTGAACGAAGATAATCCCAGAGATCTGCAGAGGGTCCTTTTCTACATAGTATTCAGCAAAGTAGCGATCAGCAGACATATGAAAGGACACTACCCAAGGCCAAGGAAAGAACCATCCAAAAGGCTTAGAGGAAACAGTATTCAGTGTTCACACACAGGCCAGAATAGTGTCTGTGCCCATGAGTCAAACTGAAAACCTCTTAGTAGACACAGCATTGGGTAGAGAACTCAAAAGGATTTTGCCTCAATAATGGAAAATAACTTGTCCTATACTAAATGCCAATCTGTCCCTGCCTAAAAAATGCCCAAAGTTTGAAAGGATCAACTGTTTCCAGTAACTTAATTGCATCCCAGAACAAAGCTCAATAATATTTATAAGGGCTGGGCGTGGTGTCTCACACCTGTAATCCCAGCACTTTGGGAGGCCGAGGCGGGCGGATCACCTGAGGTCAGGAGTTCGAGACCAGCCTGGCCAACACGGTGAAACCCCGTCCCTACTAAAAATACAAAAAAATTAGCCGGGCGTGGTGGCAGGAGCCTGTAATCCCAGCTACTCAGGAGGCTGAGGCAGGAGAATCGCTTGAACCTGGGAGGCGGAGGTTGCAGTGAGCCGAGATCGCGCCATCACACTCCAGCCTGGGGGACAAGAGTGAGGCTTCCTCTCCAAAAGAAAAAAATAATAAAATAAAGCAGTCAGATTTTTTAAAAGATATTTTACGTACGAAGCTAAGACTGACCGCAGATTTCTCTTTGGAAAGAATGTGAGCAAGGCAAGAAGACAGTGCATCAATATTTTAAAAAGTACTAAAAGAAAAAATTATTAACCTAGAATTCTGTACCGAGTGAAGACAGCCTTCACAAATTAAAGTAAAATAGCTGAGTAGATTTATCACGAGCAGACACACATTACAAGAAATGTTCATGGATTTGCTTCAGGCAGAAGGTAAATAATACCAGATGCAAATATGAATCTACACAAAAGAACAGCACTGAAAGAGTTACCTATACTAGTAAATATAATTTTTTTTATATCTCTTTAAAAGATAATTAGTGACCCTAATAGGTATGGGGTTCCTTTTTGGGGTGATGAAAATGTTCTAGAGTTAGACAGTGGTGATGATTACACAACCTAACGAACATACTAAAAACCACTGAAATATACATTTTAAAATGATGCATTTTACAGTATGTACATTATATCTTGATGCAAATAAATAATAAATATTTTTAAATAATTGACTGATTAAACAAAACTAATAACTATGTATAATGCAGTTTATAACATAAGTAAAAGAAAAATACATGGCAATAATAAATGTTAATTGTCCCAAAAGTGACTTACAAATTAATTGCATGCCTATTCAAAATTGCAGCAGGATATTTTTGTATAAATTGATAAACCTATCCTAAATCTCATATAGAAATGCAAATGACCTGAAGAGCGAAAACAGCTTTGAAAAGGAAGAACAAATGTGCAGGATCCATAAGAATATAAAAATCTTAAAGACTGAAAATACCCACTGTTGTCAAGGGTACAGAATAAGAGAAACTGTCTTATGGTGTTGTTAGGAGTCTAAATTGCATACCCTATGAGCCAGCAATTCCACTCCTAGCTATATACTAACAGGAATACAGGCACATGTGTACAAGGAGACACCTACTAAAGTGTTCCTATCATAGCATCACACATCACAATAACCAAAACCTGGAAACAATCCAAATG
Organism: Homo sapiens; assembly: GCF_000001405.40. Taxonomy (NCBI): domain Eukaryota; kingdom Metazoa; phylum Chordata; class Mammalia; order Primates; family Hominidae; genus Homo; species Homo sapiens. The sequence continues at coordinate 41,929,801 of NC_000012.12, forward strand.
TTCATCAGTAGTAGAACAGATCAACTGTTGTCAACTTTTATACAATGGAATTCTAAGCAAGGAAGAGAAATAACATGGATAAATCATATAAGCATGATGCTGATAGAAAGGAATCTCTGATATACCTTATGCGTAATTCTGTAAAGTTCAAAAATAAGCAAAAGTAATCCATGGTGTTAATAGATGCCTACTTGGATGGAAAAGTACAACAAAGTAATCACCACCAAAAATAAGAAGATACTGGTTATCTTTAGTGGAGAGGGAGTGAGCTTTCATTAGGAACGGGCAGCCAGGAGAACTTCCAAGATACTGATAATGTACATTTTCTTAATTTAGATCATGGTTACATAGGATTTATTTTATGACAATTCATTACGTTTCTACATGTATGTTTTACGCATATTTTCATAAGTGATACACAGTTTGAAACTGAAATGCCTGGGGAAAAAAAAACATTTACTTTCATTATAGTAGAATTTGGATTATAGCTATATGTTGAATCTGCTCTCTTTAATCTAAATAGACTACAAAATATTTTTAAATATGAAATAAAAAATTTAAAATATATAACATACTTCTAAAGCATGGGGAAATAAAAGATTCTGAAATTTCTGGAAGTGAATAGGAATGGATAAAATGATAAGAGAATGGAAATTTAATCAATAGGAAGAAATAGCTTCTATTCTCAGCTAGCTTAAAATCTTTGGAAGAGTAGTGGTAAAGAATAAACAATCCTTATCCCTCTTTCTTTACTCAATCAAAAGCACTTAAGCTCTTTCCAGGAGTATAATATAAATATGAGTAATGGAATTGATTTTCTATCAAACACACAAGAAAAAATCAGATGAGCTCTATTCCTTTCAAGGTATTCATCTCAGGAAGTTAGACACTTTTTGCAATGAAGCTTTATTAATGCAAACATTTTGGCATGCCTCTTGAAGACCTGCCTTTAGCGCCTATGGCATTCTTTAATAACCTTCAGGATGGTAAATTCAGCCTCTGAGAATGAACTGAGAAAGTGATTTGGCTCTATGTCTGATAAATAATACACGTAAACTCTTTCACTCAGAATGCATTGATTTGATGTAAAAATCAAAATATGGCTGTAAAGGAATGGGACTAGTATTAAAGGAAATTCCTAAAGAAAAGTTCCTTCTGAAAAATAGTTTGAACGATAACACCATTATTGAAATAAGATTCTTGCATCTTAAGTAACTACCTTAGAGATAAGCACAGACTTCGTTCACTTACTCAAAAAATGTTAATTGAATTCCTTTTGCGTACCAGACATTGTTCCAGACCCACTTAGGGATAAAGCAGGGAATTCAATGGGCAAAAACTCTGCCCTCATGTAGATTACTTGAATATATGCTTATTAAAAGTCTGCCTCATAATCTACTTTCACTTTCTGGATTCGTATGTTTAATGTTCTCCGTGGTCTTTACAGCATTTTTACAGTATTACAGGATTTCTGAAAGTACATCAGGGTTTATATCTCTGTCCAACGAGATGCTACATGTATGTAAATGGTAAATTTCCAAATGGCTTTCCCAGTGGAAAATCAAGGCTTGCTTATCTTTAACTTCAGAGCTTTTAGTAAAGAAATGTAGTTGATACCCCAAAAATACGTTTGTTTTTTGTTTGCTTGACAAGATTAAAATTCACTGGTGTATTCATAAAAACTAGAATATGATCATTTTGACTGGGCCTTGTACAGAGAATTTGGTCAAGTAGATTCTCTAATTACCTAGCAATGACAGCATTTTCCAAGGTGCCCAAGGAAGAGGGCATCCCACTAGTCTAGTAGTTCATAACTCAGCACCCTAAACCTCAAAACACCTACTGGAGGCCGGGCGCGGTGGCTCACACCTGTAATCCCAGCACTTTGGGAGGCTGAGGTGGGCGGATCACTTGAGACCACGAGTTCAAGACCAGCCTGGCCAACATGGCGAAACCCCGTCTCTACTGAAAATACAAAAATTTGCCCAGCGTGGTGGTGCGGACCTGCAGTCCCAGCTACCGGAAGGCTGACGCAGGAGAATCACTTAAACCCGGGAGAGAGAGGTTGCATTGCGCCACACACTCCAGCCTGGGCGATAGAGCGAGACTCCGTCTCAAAAAAAAAAAAAAAAAAAAAAAAAAAAGCTAATGAAACAGGATGTCAGCGTCTGGAAATCAGTTGGCACACACTCAGCTACTAATCAGACCTGAAAAATAAAAGCTAGCATACTAACCAAACTCAGAATCAAAGAGTCAGAATTTTGTGATCGCCCCCATCACCATCATTCAACAGCTTCTGACACCACCACCTCTAATCCTACCTCAGCTCTGTCGCCCAGGCTGGAGTACATTAGTGGGATCTCGGCTCACTGCAGCCTCCACCTCCAGGGCTCAGCTGATCCTCCCACCTTGGCCTCCCGAGCAGCTGGAACCACAGGTGCGAGCCAGCCCACACGGCCAATTTTTTTATTTTTTTGTATTATAGAAAATGAGTCTTGCTATGTTGCCAAGGCCGAACTCCTAGGCTCAAGCGATCCTCCCACCTTGGCCTCCCAAAGTGTTGGGATTACAGGCGTAAGCCACGGCGTCCAGCCTTTGATTCTATTTTACAGGTGAATGGAAAGGCTTTGCTCAACGTTCAAACGCCGCTGCCCAACCTCTCTGCAAAGAGAAAATTGTGTCTGTTGTTTACTGACACAATTAGCAATGGGTTTGAACACAATCTGCAAGGAAGAGGAAACCAGCAGCAGCGCGGCGCTGGGCAGGCTGCAGAGCCGGGCGTTTCCGCCCCTGCCCAGGGGTCGCCGTTGCGCACGGCGGTGCAGGCTGGGAGCGCTGGCCCGGCGCCCATGCTGGCGAGGCCCCCACCCTCCCAGCAGTCTGACTCTTGCTGGCGCCGGGCCGGCCACGCTGTCGCCTCCCCGCCGCGGAGTTCTGCTTCCTGTTTTCCAAGCCTAAGTGCTTTTTAATTAGCCTTCATCACTTCCCCAATTTAACTACAACCATTACGGGCTCCTTGCCGACAGCACGCCCACCTGGCATCCCTGCACTACACCTTTGCGCGCACCGGGCCCAGCCGGCCCAGTCCCTCAAGCATCAGTAGACGGAAAATGCTCCTGAACGCCCCCGCGACTGCATGGAGTCTGTGTGCATCTGTCCCGGCCTGGTTCCTTTGTGCTTTAGGATGGCAGGTTCTCACAGGCAGAAGAAGCTTATTGTTTATTTGTATGGCAAAATTCGATTTTTTGCCAGGTCTCCTGGATATTTCCAGCGCTGTTTATAAAGAGGGAGGGAGAGCTTGGAGGTGGGTACCTGTATGCAGTTGATTTTTAAACTCACATCATGCAGGGATTTGGGAAGGGGATGATTTTTGCACTTCTTTCATTTATTATTTAATTAATTATCTGTTTATTTTTGTTTTTTGTAATTACAAAATGTGTAATTTATTTAAGAACTAAATTTTTTTTTTTTTTTTTTTTTTTTTTTTTTTTTTTTTTTTTTTTTTTTTTTTACTGGAGGAAGAGAATCAAAGCACGGGCAGTTTACATAGAGACCCATCATAATCCCAGAGGCTTTCCACCTAGGAATGTTTCTCCTGGCCTCCTCACCCTGCTGCCTCCCATCTGCTCCATGGGGCCATCCACCCACCCTCTAACATCCAACAGAACCCCAGAAATGCAACAGATGAGCCCTGAAGAGGAAAGGCCTCTGTTAATTTTTATTGAGCCTTGTCAGTTGAAAAGAAACACACACACACACACACACACACACACACACACACACACACTGACCAAGAAGTCCTTAACAGTCCCTTCAGCTCTACTCAACTTTAGACAGATTTCCTCCTGACTATAGCCCCTGACTTCCCTTTCCTTGGAGCATTTACTTTAGAAAATTTGCAATTATAAATTCTTTCTCTGCCCCTTAGAGATGTAAATCTTCTCCCAGCCTCCTGCCAGTTTCACAACCCAGGAATGCCTTTCTCAAGGACCTGGGAGTCATCCTTTTGAAACACAATCATCAAGAAAGGACAGAGCTCCTATCTCTCAGTCTCTGTGGGAGCATGGGAGCCTAACTTGATAAGCAACTATTTGCAGACACAATGTGATGACCTAATCACATTGACAATTCCCCCATCCCCAATGTCCACCAATACTTTTCTGCTAGCTCACTCTGTGTTTAAAAACTCTCCTACCTTTTGTTTCAGAAAAATTGAGTTCAGTCTCTCTCCCCTATTCGCAAACACCTGAAAACATACAGCTCCTAAAAGAGGTCGTAAGGGAAAAGCCCCTTGACACTGACTTCAGCAATAATTGTTTTTTTAAATATATAACTCCAAAAGTTCAAAAAAGGTTACAAAAGCAAAAATAAATAAATGGTGCTACATCAGATTAGAAAGCTGAACAGTAAAGAAGACAATCAACGGAATGAAATGGCAACCTACAGATTGGGATAAATGTTTGCAAACCATATATCTGATAAGGAGTTAATATCCAAAATTTATGAAGAACTCATACAACTCAATAGCACAAAAACAAATAACCCAATTTTTTAAATGGGCAACGGACCTGAATACATATTTCACCAAAGAAGACATTGAAGTGGCCAAAAAGTATATGAAAGGTGCTCAATATAATTAATCATCTGGGAAATGTAAATCAAAGCCGCTATGAGATATCACCTCACACCTTCTCAGATGGCTATTATCAAAAAGTCAAGAGATAACAAATATTGGAGAAGGTATGAAAAAAGGGCGGGGGGACTCTTGTACACTGTTGGTGATAATGTAGATTGATGCAGCCATTGTGGAAAACAGTATGGAGGTTCCTAAAGAAATTAAAAATAGAATTTCCATATGACCCAGCAGGCCAGATGCAGTGGCTCACACCTGTGATCACAGCACTTTGGGAGGCTGAGGTGGGCAGATCACTTGAGGTCAGGAGTTCGAGACCAGCCTGGCCAACATGGTGAAACCCCGTCTCCACTAAAAATACAAAAATTAGTTGAGCGTGGGAGTGCACGCCTATAATCCCAGCTACTCGAGAGGCTGGGCAGGAGAATCACTTGAACCTGGGAGGTGGAGGTTGCAGTGAGCCAAGAGTGTGCCACTGCACTCCAGCCTGGGTGACAGAGCAAGACAGTCTCAAAAATAAAATTTTTTAAATTTATAAAATAAAGAGATAATTAACTCTTTAAAGGTCATAGGGGTGGGGCCCTAATCCAACAGGACTGGTGACTATAAGAAGGAGAAGAGACACCAGATCTCTTCTCTCTCCTCTCCCTTCTCCTCTTCTCCCCTCTCCTCCCCTCTCCTGCCTTCCGCCTCCTCTCTCTCTCTCTCTCTCTCTCTCTCTCTCTCTCTCTCTCCTCAAGCATAGAAAAAAGGCCACATGAAGACAAAATGAGAAGGGGCTGTCTACAAGCCAGGAAGAGAGGCCAAAAATTGAATTTCCCAACACTTTGAGTAGTAACATGGCAAATTACTGAAAGTTTCAGCTGGTTAGGCAGAACTATTCAAAGAAGTATGTGTCTCAGCACCAACTGGAACTATCCCAAGCTTCTATACAGGGAAATTTCTAATAGATTGATGTTTTGAAAGGGCATGTACCAAAGATAGAATGAAGGGCAAGTGAGTAGCATCGGTAAGATTAGGACAGGAAAGTTAAATAGCACCGTGAGCTAAAGCTTAGGAGAAAATGCTAAGACAACACGAAGGCTAACCATGCTCAATAAATCAATGAAAATGGAAGGAATGAGCCCACTTCTTGAGAAAAACTGTGTAATAGTAATATATGAATAAGAAACAAGAGTCCTTAACAGCCCCTGTCTTCACCAAAAAGAAAGACATTCAGATTAGGAAAAGAACAAATATGGTTAAGAGGAAATTGAACAGCTAAGTAAATTACAATACTTCCATCTTTAACATATGAGGCAGCCACTAAAAATTATGTTTCTAAAGACTCTTGAATAACATAGAAAAAGGCATGGCATAAGATTAAGTGGGAGGGAAGCAGGATACAAAATTGAATCACAAATAATCTTGATTTATGAAAAAATAAAATCAGAGAGAAAGTACCAGATGGCTATCTACCAACACTGCTTGTCTCTCACTGGTAAGATTATGGGTATTTTTTGCCTCGATGTTACATTTTTATGAACTTTCAGGCAATGAATATTTGTTACTTTTATAATCAGAAAATGGAAGTAGAAAACTAAAATCAAAAATAGGAGTCCAAGGTACTTGAAGTATTGTGAGGCAGCTTTACACCAGTATTAAATGAGGCCAAGAGTCCAGACCCAGGAGCTGGCGATGAGGAAATCAGTATCAGTAACACCTAAGGACTCATAAACATTAAGTCAGAGACCAGAACACTCTCACTTTCAGAATAATGGGAATCTTAAACCCTTGGGCACTATATCTCAGGAAAACTCTTGATTTGATAGCTTTGAGAACCTGGAAAACGTGATAGAAAAGGAGCAGGCTTAGCTTTATTCTGCCCATCATTCCCCAAAATGTGAGCTCTGTGTTGCTTGTGATGATGAACAAAACCTAGTAGAAACAAGATGCAGAGGCCCCCATAGCCTCCAGCACTGTGTTCCCTGGGGCCCAATGCAGTCTACTTGTAATTGATGGCATCTGGGAGTCAGGGCATAAGTTCTCTGTTTTTCCTGGAGCCCACTTTTCCTCCCAGATGTTGCCCCTCCCTGTCTTCACTGCACTCTGCATCTGCCCTCTCCTGGTCGTTTCTAGTCTTAACGATGGTCTAGTCGGTCCCTGCTCCTTCTGGCAGGTCCTTCCAGGCTCTCCCTGCTATAGCCTTCTTTGTCCGTGGGCCACTGACAGCCAGCCTTGACAACATCTGAGGATATTTTCCAGTGTGTGCTTCTCATAACTAGCCCTGCAAGACATTCCGTGATAGCCCATGACCAAGGGGACTGATGGTTTAAGCCATGAGAAACTCCCTTTGGGAGATTCCTAATGCCCATTAGCATAGTAAAGGTTTTTGAAATGCCTACAATAAAGATGCTTGCTTAAATTTGGCCAAATTTAATAAACTTCTAAGACCTTTTTTTGAAAACATCCTGTTAAATCCAATAAATTTGTAATCTGAGAGCACACTTTGTTACCCTTGGAGGACACTGCTAATGTAGCTTCCTCCCCAATAACACGTTTGGCCTAGAAATAATCTGTAGCTCCTGTGCCTTTGTCTAATATCCTGATGTTGGAATTAGGACACCAAGGCCCCTTGACAGCATCAAGCTGCAGCTTCTGCATCAAACCACATGAGAAGTGTCTGACCTGCCCAAATGGAAGTGGACTCCACCTCACTGCAACCAACAGACTGGAGTCCTGATCCTTTCACTTTATTCCCTCTGACCCTTTCTTCTGAGCTATGTTCTGCTTCTTATATCTCTCATGCTATCCACCAAAGACTACTCTGCATAAAATCTCAGACAACCAGCAGATATTACCAAAGAGGCAATTAATCAACCTATTATGCAGCCTTGCTCACAACCTATCTTTTCCAGGGTTTTTCTAGAAAGGATATTTACATCTTGATTGGTTTTTGTGATAATTAACTCATAGCTCACTCACCACTTCTTTAGGAACACGTCCCTGACCAGATCGGAATCCCAGCTGTAGTCCCTTGCCCCCTCTTTGGCACCATAAACCACTCCATGAAGTACCTGTCACAGTTACTGCTTCACATGTATTTGTATGAACATGTAATTAATGTCTGTCTCCCTCACTAATACTCATGCACAATAAAAACTGTATTCCACATACTACCACATCAAATGTTTTACAAATTTTTCCACTTAATTCTCATAACAACCCAGTTAAGCAAGGAGGTGAGGAGTTGCAGTTATTATCCCCATTTTATAAATGAAAAAACTGGAGAATACTAGTTAAGGAACTTGACCAAGATTAATAGCTAATGAATGGCAGACTGGAATTTGAATCCACGCATTCCGATTCCAGAACACGTATGAGCCTCTAGGCCCTATTATCTGGCCACTAGACACTAAATTCCATGGGGGAATGGACCATATCTGATTTTGCTCACCACTGTATCTCAAGTGCCCAGCACATATAATCTTTCATTATATTTTGGGGGGTTCTGCGTTTCTTTTTTTTTAAGAGATGGGGTCTCACTCTATCACCCAGGCTGGAGTGCAATGGCATGATCATAGCTCACTGCAGCCTCAAACTCCTGGGTTCAAGTAATCCTCCCACCTCAGCCTCCTAAGTAGCTGGGACTATAGGCACAAGCCATTACACCTGTATATTTTTTAATGAATAAATGAATGGATAGATAAATATAATTCAAGTATAAAATTCAAACATTTCAGAAATATACAATATAAAAAATAAAAATCATCCATAATCCTACCACCACCCCGCCCAGGGAAAACAATTTTCAGCAGTTTTCTAACTGTTCCTTACAAAGCAAACCTTCACCAGGCAGTGTCATGAAGTACATTCGGTATGTGACTGATTCCATGAACGTTGGGGACCTCATGAGGATAAGAAATATTCCACTCAGGACAATGCATTACATTGGTACGTTCTTCACTCACCTCTGCTGCCACCACACAAATGCTTATGTGTGGCTTAATATGAACAGATGATGAATAAACAGATGTTTATCACCAAAGCAGTAAATAACATCATACACAATATCTGTGGTGAAAAAAAGGAACTATAGTCTCAATAAGAGTACAGTTATGTAGACTCAAATGGAACGAGTAACAAAACTCAGAAAGGATGCAATACATATTAAAACTGAAAAGGGATCCACAGCAGCAGCCGCATGCTATCTCTGTTCCTGGCCTTCCCTACATTTCTAGTTACCATTTCAGTGAAAACAGAATGCACTGTCGTTTGGTCATTTCTGCAAATAACACAAAACAGAGAAATAGATATTCTAGATGATAAAATCAGTTTTTAAAATTATTCCCACAGATGGAAATAATGAGTCAAAACCAACAAGATTAAATTTAGCAGCATATAATATAAAGTCTGGATATAAGTTCTAAAACTCAATCATATAAATTTAGAATGGGGGCCCCATTTCCTTGTTAGCTTATAAGAAAAGCCTGGACACAGCCAAAGGATGATTAAGCAATCCACACTTAAGCAGCAGATATCAAAATCAGTTTCCAAACTTAGATGTGCAGGAAATGTCTATTTTCTATAACTCGGTTCAACTTCTGACTTTGAGATCTAAATCTGCCAAGCAGGCAAAAAATATAATCTCAGTCATTCTCGAAAATTTTTCACCTCCCTAGAAAGTTTCAGGACTCTTATACAGTGGCAATGTCCAGGGGATAGGGTGGGCCCTTCTGTCCCAGGACATTTGTCTGCACAGCCTGTAAGGACCCAGGGCCCTACTGCTCCATGGCGCTCTTGGGCCATCCAGACCCTTGCCAAGGCCTGAGCTGTCTCTGCTTTCCATCTCCCCACCTCTGTTGCCATCAAGTAGGACTGGATCCCCATTACTCAGGGACCCACAGGCCTCTTTCTCCACCTCTCTCCCATCCTCTGGCCTCCTTTTTGGCCTTGGGAAATTATACTCGCAGAAATACTTTCTTACTTTCTTTTTGTCTTTGGCAAATCCCCTGGACACTTACATAACTTCAGTAAACATTCCAAGTTCCAGTATGGGCTTAGGCTTCTGGAAACAAAGTCCAGAAGACTATACATTGCTTCTGCTCTCCACCTGACATACATCTCTCTGGGGCAGCAAGGGAGTGCAGGCTACCTGCTTGAATTGGAGGAATGAAAAGGGAAGATACAAAAAGAAACAAATCAATATCCGAAAATATGCAGCCATAAAGGTAATGGAACACTATTTTATGATATTAAAGGCAATTCTATGGAGTGGCAAAATTAGAAGAAAATGTGTACATGAAATAACGTTAAGTGAGAAAGAAGAATACATACATAAGAATGACTCCAATGTAGAAATATATAATTTTATAAGTATTGAAAGCTAATTTGAAATGACATAAATTGATTTAATGTCCACTGTAATATTTTTATGTAAAACTAAGTGCATAATAACTTTGAGAGAATAAATCATACCAAAGAAATGTAAGACCAGTTAGAATCTTTTTAGCAATATTTAATTTTTATAAACTAATTGTGAGCTAGTAAAATGTTTAAGGAAAGTTAATGCAACTTAGAAGTGTGTGGCAGAAACTGCTAGCCATTTAATAAAATATATTCTTCCTCCATTGTAATTGAATTATAGCAAGTTACATGGCTGTCTAAGCAGACCACATTCCCCAGTGTCCCCTGTAGCAGGTGCAGTCATATGACTAAGTTATTGCCAATGGAACCAAACTGGAAGTGATGTGTGCTACTTCTGAGCCCACGGTGGGTCTGCTTTCTCCTTGCTGTCTTTTCCTACCTTTCTAGCTAGAACCCATCCATGGCTGCTATCAGCTTCAACTAAGATGATTCCAAGGCCCTAAAGGATGGCAGAACAGCACACCAGAAGGCACCTGAATCCCAAAATGACCAAGTGGAGCAGCACTCCCCACCAGATTAGAACATTCACCTCTGACTACCACAGGAAAGAGAAATAAGCTGCTGTGTTCTTTAATTCAGTTTCTCTCTTGTTTCTACAACTTTAGCTTACCCAGATAAATACAGTGTGCATCACCAGAAGCCTTACATTCAGCCCTATTTAGCTGATTATATAACTGTACTTTTTCAGTGATTAACTCTGTTCCATTGATACCCTAAAGAAATAGGTTCCATTTTAAAAAGAGATATATAAAAAACAAAAGCATAACCCAAAGGCAAAAACTAAGATGGACCTCTTCTTCTGGTGACAGAGGGAGAGACAGAGAAGAGGGTTGAAGCAAACATCTGTTTAAGTCCTATGGCAAGCACTTCACAGGGCATCTCACATATATTATGACATTCCACTCTGAGAGCTGCGGTTTAGCCTGGAGCAAGAGATCCATCTTCAAATATTTGAAAGGCCATTCTAAGGGAAGAGAAATTCTCTTTCTTTTTTAGATTTTTGTATACTTTTTACCATGGGTAAATAGATTCTTACTGTAACACACTCTCAAAATATAGGAAGACATGGAATAAACCATGGTAGTTGCTGTCAAGCCTCTTTCCTCTCTTCAACTCCCCTCCAGAGTTATCCGCATTATCATTTCCAAGTGTATTCATCCGTAGATTTATTACTTGCAGCTTCATAAAAAAGCCAAGCAGTTCACACACCATGACCTGCAGGAATCCTTCCTTGAGCTTCTGCCCTCAAAATTAGCTAAGGTAACTTCTCTGGTACCATCATAGCATTAGTACCATTCCCTAGCCTTGTACTTAAACATGATACGCTATTTATTTAACTGTCTTGCCCATTTGGCTGTATGTTCTTTGAGGACAAGAAGCCTTTTATTTATTCAAATAACTGCACAGAGACTTCATAGTAAATTCAATAAATGTCAAACTGAATGAGGTGAAGTTAAAGGGAGGCAGATCTTGTTCAATGAACCCCAAGTGAAAGATTTGAGAAATCGCTGTTCAAAGTAGAACCAAATGCTTTGAATTAACTATCTTTTAAGTCAGAGAGTTTTAGAGAAAAGTTTTTCAGTCAAAGAGTTTCTTACATTCTAAGAGAATTTGGCTCATCCATGACCAATACCTCTTAACTCCAAAATTTAATCCCCTATAAATCCTTGTTCCACTTAAAACACTTACTGTGTATTTCCGAGAGCTACAAGAGAGGATCCAACATCTAATATTTTCTCCTTCTTCAGTTAGGGCTCTTCTCTGCTATGATCCTCCCTGGGTCTTTCTTCAAGACTCTAAGAAGAGACTAGGAAACAGACCTCTTGTTAAGAAAAGAATAAAATGTCCAGACCCTATTTCTGTAAGTGGCTTAACCACAGTTCCCTCTCCTCTTCAACACAAGAGGGTGAGTATGTTTACCCAACAGAATTTTTTAAACAATATTCTTTTATATGTTAAAAAAGCATGCATCTATGTTTGCTGAATTCTTAAATGTTAGTAATTTTACTTCTCTAACAAGAATGTTTCACAATAAGCTGCACTTCCATAAAAACAATATTTAAACTGAAGCATGGTCATTTTTCTTCCCTTATGGATAAAGAACCAGGTTACATTTAACTTAATGGAGTTATTTTCCTGTTTCCTCTACTCTTTTACTTACTTCTTCTTCTAGATCTATTATTTCCATTAAATTTTCATAATATCCCATTAACTCAATGAAAAGAATTTTGCATGGTATTAGGTTGGGAAGAAAGCATTTCCTTTCATTATTGTCATGAGAAATTTTTTTTTGCTAAAATACTTTTTCTTTTTCCTATGGACCTTCGGTTTGCTCTCTTTCAGGATTTTTATAATTATTCTACTGTTATCATTTCCCCCTTAAGGACAAATTGAATTGCTTTGAGTTTATCTCCAACCTTTAGCATTATTTCAAATTATTGGATATCTAATTAGAGAATGTTCTTTCATAAATAACATTTCAAAACCATACCACTGAATGGTTGAACACCTGCTGTTACCTCCTCAATTTTTTTTCTCAGGTTCTTCTAAAACAGCTTTCACTGAACAGTGAACACTCTTGCTGTGTTGCAAAGATGAAAGCAAAATTCCATGTGTGAAGCCCAAATTGAAATCACAGAAGGCAGGATTCACACTGCTAATTGTTGCTTAGCAATAAAATGTGCAAAACCTGCTAATGGAACAGTGACACCAGGCACCAGAGGCATCTGTATCCACACTGGCAGTAAATTAGGGAATTAGAAACTCTACAGTAACAGCAACAAAAGGAATTCCATCTCTTAGGAACCCAGGGAGGGTTTCTGCACTCATTCCTGCTTACTGCTCAGTTGAAAAGAAAGTCTCTTCATCCACTAGATACTGCTATTGTGACACTTGAAGACTGCAAGGAAATAGAAGCTCGGAGGTTCAGATTATTCTAAAAGTGTCCCTGACGGATTTGCACGTGCCTGCAAAAAATAGTATTTTTTTCCCCTGTTGAAAAGATTTGCAGTAAAGATAGACCTTCAAATGCCAGCTTGTACGTTTGCTAAGGCAGCAGAGTGGGACAAAAAGCTCTGTCACTGCCACCTCATCACAGGTGTTCTGTGGGTAGTAGTCAGCCTCCAGCATAGAGACCGTGTGTCAGGAACCAAAACAAAATAGCCAGGTATAGTGGCACATGCCTGTAGTCCAAACTACTCAGGAGGGTAAGCAGGGAGGATCACTTGAGCCCAGAACTTCGAGGCTGCAGTAAGCCATGATCGCATCGCACCACTGCACTCCTGCCTGGGGGACAAAGCAAGACCCTGTCTCAAAAAAACGCTATCAAGAGCTGCATACTGAAACAAATTCATTTATTTCGCAGTTATCTAGCCTGCCTTTAATGACAACCTGTTATTCCCTAAATTGGTGAATGAAAAAAATCCAGATGTTTAGCAACCCAACGGACACTTTGTAAATGCTTTTTATTGAAGTATACCTAACACACTGTAAAGTCCACACATTTTATCAGTATTTCTCAATACATTTTTTCACTTACATAGTGTATACCCATGTAACCGACTACATCGATCAAGACTTAGAAATTCCCAGCACTCTTGAATGTTCTTGCAAGCAATATTGCCCCCCAAATAACCATCATTTTAACATCTACCACAGCAGATTAGTTGTGCCTATTGTTGAACTTCATATACATAAGGTCACTGAGTATTTTACTGTTTAATGTCTAGCTTCTTTCACTCAACATTATGTCTGAGAGATTCATCCATGTTGCAATTAGTATTTTTTATTGCAGTGTAGTATTCCATTGTGCAAATATCCACAATGGTTTATTTACCCATTCTCCTTTGATGGACATTTGGGGTTATTTTCCCATTTGAACTACTATGAATAAAGCTGCTATAAACATTCTTGTATATATCTTTTGGCAGACATAAGCACACATTTCTGTTAGGCATCCACCCAGGAGTGGAACTGCTAAATAGGTAAATGTTTAGCTTTGGCACATACTGCCAAGTTTTCCAAGTAGTTGTGCCAAACTGCACACCTGCCAGAGATGGAGTTTCACATTCCCCACATACTTGCCAAGAATTTGGTATTGTTAGTCTTTTAATGTAGCTATACTGGTGAAGTATTGTGGTTTTAATTTGCATTTTTCTAATGACTAGTGATACTGAACATCTTTTTTAATGTTTAAGATGCTTTTGTTTACATTTTTTACAAGACTGAGAAAATCTTAATTATCCCTATCAAAGAGAAATATCATTTCCATGTGGGTGGCAGGGAAGTGAAATTTCCCCTATCTAGCATGCTCTGAAAACCAGGGAGGAAATTGACACTAGATTCTGAAGAAGAGAGCAGTCTTCCTTGAGGAAAAGAGCCCTTTCCTTGGGCAAGTGGTTAATATGGCATTGGGCCTTCAGGGTGTGGGTGGAAGCTGGTGGAATGCTTATGAACACCTTTTTATATGCTCATTGGCTATTTAAATATAGTCTTTTGTAATAACGCTCCAGCAGATATGTTTGAAAAGGGCTGCGGTTTCAAATGATCATGATGCAAGTCTGCTGATCTTGTGGGCCTCAGAGAGACTATGTCCTGATTAGCAAAGGATGCCAGAGCCATTACTTTTGTAAAAAGGGAAGCCTCAAGAATGAGCTGCATGTCACTGGAGCTATTTTAGCAAAGACTAGACAGAAAGTAAATTAGTAGAAGAATGTAAATACCAGCTGCAAGATGAGACTAAATATACTTAAATGTCTCTTCCAACACTGGTAAGTGCTACAGGGATTCAACTATTGCTCGATCAGTGAAAACTGGAAGGCAGAGGGTGGAAGTCAGGGCATGAACCTGTTAACTGTTGAGTATCTATTGTGTGCCAAAGACAGTACTAAGCCTTTACATGCATTATTTCATTTAATTCTCACAACAATCATATACAGTAGATAGTATCTATATTAGTTATTTATTGCTCCATAATAATATTACCACAAATTTAGCAACTTAAAACAACATACTTTATTATTTCATGGTTTTCTGGGTCAGAAGTCCAGCCATGGCTGAGCTAGGTCCTCTGCTAGGCTATAATCAAGGTGTGGGCCAGAACCGGGCTCTCATCTGAGGCACAACTGGGGAAGGATCAGCTTCCAAGCACATGACTGTTGGCAGCATTCAGTTTCTTGCAGGCTGCCAGACTGAGGGCCTCAGTCTCTTTTTGACTGTTGTCTACTTTCAGCTCCTGCCACGTGGCCCTTTCCATGAGGCAGCTCATAACCTGGCAGCTTGCTTCTTCAAAGCATAAGGAAGAGGATTTCCTATCAAAACAGAAGTTACAATCATATGTAACACAATCATGTAAATGCAATCATGTATATTCTGTTACCTTTGCCATATTCTGTTGGTTAGGAGCAAGTTGCAAGTCCTGCCCATGTTCAAAGGGAGGGAAAGACACATCAGAGCAGGGATCATGGGAGCCACTTTAATGTATTAGTCCATTTTCACACTATAAAGAACTCCCTGAAACTGGGAAGTTTATAAACAAAACAGGTTTAATTGACTCACAGTTCCACATGGTTTGGAGCCCTCAGGAAACTTACCATGATGATGGAAGGTGAAGGGGAAGCAAGGCACATCTTACATGGTGGCAGGAGGGATGGGGGGAACTGCCAAACACTTTTAAAGCATGAGATCTCATGAGAACTCACTCACTATCATGATAACAGCATGGAGGAAACTGCCCTCATGATCCAATCACCTCCCACCAGGTCCCTCCTTCAACACATTGGGATTATAATTGAGATAAGATTTGGATGGGGACACACAGTCAAGCCATATCATTCCACCCCTGGCCCCGCCCAAATCTCATGTCCTTCTCATACTTCAAAACCAATCATGCCTTTCCAACAGTCCCACAAAGTCTTAACTCATTCCAGCATTAACTCAAAGTCCAAGTCCAAAGTCTCATCTGAGACAAGGCAAGTCCCTTCCCACTGGGAGCCTGTAAAAATCAAAAACAAGTTAGTTACTTCCAAGATACAATGGAGATACAGGCATTGGGTAAATGGTCCCATTCCAAATGGGAGAAATTGGTCAAAACAAAGAGGCCACAGGCCCCATGCAAGCCTAAAACCTGGCAGGGCACTCATTACATCTTAAAGCTCCAAAATAATCTCCTTTGACTCCATGTCTCACATCCAGGGCATATTGAAACAAGGAGTGGACTCCCAAGGACTTGGCCAGCTCCATCCCTGTGGCTCTGCAGGGTACAACCACCTTGGCTGCTTTCCTGGGCTGGTGTTGAGTACCTGCAGCATTAACAGGTGCACAGTGCAAACTGTCAATGGATCTGCCGTTCTGGGGTCTGGAGGATGGTGGCCCTCTTCTCACAGCTCCACTAGGTGGTGCTCCAGTGGGGACTCTGTGTGGGGGCTGCACAACTCCACATTTCCCCTCTGTATTGCCCTGGTAGAGGTTCTCCATGAGGGCTCCACCTCTGCAGCAGACTTCTGCATGGATATCCAGGCATTTCCATACATCCTTTGAAATTTAGTCGGAGGCTCCCAAAGCTCAGCTCTTGTCTTCTGCACACCTGCCAGCCCAACACCACCTGGAAGCTGCCAAGGCTTGGGGCTTGCACCCTCTGAAGCAACAGCCTGAGCTGTACCTTAGCCCTTTTAACCATAGCTGGAACTGGAATGGCTGGGATGCAGAGCATCAGTATTTAGGCTGCACAGAGCAGCAGGGTCCTGGGCCTGGCCCACAAAGCCATTTTTCCCCCTAGACCTCTGATTCTGTGATGGGAGGGGCTTCTGTGAAGGTCTCTGATATGCCCTGGAGACACTTTCCCTGTTGTCTTGGCTATTAACATTCAGCTCCTCATTACTTATGCAAATTTATGCAGTTGGCTTGACTTCCTCCCCATAAAATGGGTTTTTCTTTTCTACCACATGGACAGGCTGCAAATTTTCCAAACCTTTATGCTCTGCTTCCCTTTCAAACATAACTTTGTGTTTCAAATGATCTCTTCGTGAATGCATATAACTGAACCTTTCAGAATAAGCCAGGTCACATCTTGAATGCTTTGCTGCTTAGGAATTTCTTCTGCCAAATACCCTAAATCATCTCTCTCAAGTTCAATGTTCCATAGATCTCTAGGGCAGGGGCAAAATGCCACCAGCCTCTTGGCTAAAGCATAGCAAGAGTGACCTTTGCTCCAGTTCCCAAGAAGTTCCTCATCTCCACCTGAGACCACCTCAGCCTAGACTTCATTTTCCATATCGCTATCAGCATTTTGGTCACAAAAATTCAACAAGTCTCTAGGAAGTTTCAAACTTTCCCTCATCTTCCTGTCTTCTTTTGAGCCCTCCAAACTATTCCAATTTCTGCCCATTACCCAGTTCCAAGTTGCTCCCACATTTTTTAGGTATCTTTCTAGAAGTGCCCACTCCTGCTACCAATTTTCCATATTAGTCCATTTTCACACTGCTATAAAGAACTCCCTGAGATTGAGTAATTTATAAACAAAACAGGTTTAATTGACTTACAGTTCCACATGGCTGGGGAGACCTCAGGAAACTTAAAATCACAGTGGAAGGGGAAAGGGAAGTGAGGCACATCTTACATGGTAGTGGGGGGTGGAAACTGCTAACACTTTTAAACCATCAGATTTCATGAGAACTCATTCATTATCAGAAGAACAGCATGAGGGAAGCTGCTGTCATGATCCAATCACCTCTCACCAAGTCCCTCCCTCAATATGTGGGGATTACAATTTGAGATGAGATTTGGGTGTAGACAGAGCCAAACCATATCAACTACTATTATCCTTACTTCACAGGTGAAAAAAATGAACTAAGAAAGGTAGAATAAGTTGCCAGGTACAAGTGTATCTAAATCCAGAGTTTACTTTCTTAACCACTATAGTACCAGGTAAACATTCAAAGAAGAGGTGAAATGACAGCTGGAATGGCTTATTCTGAATAAGCTTAGAGAATGGGTTGGCAAAACCAACATGAGCAAGGAGGCAGAAAAGAACGGGTATTTGTAGGAGAGCAAGGAAATTGGTCCAATTAAAATACCAAGTTTATTTGGGTGATAGGGAACAAAGGCTGGATAGCTAGAGTAACACTAAACTCCTAGAAAGTCTAACGGAGATGCATCAATCTTACACAGTATTCAATAGGGAACCAGTGTCAGTTTTTAAGCAGACGTTTTTAAAGTATTAAGATGAATCAAGTATCACAGCCTCATGCTAATCAATATATTTGAAACTTCTTAGAAAAATAAATCTTGATGTTAACCAAAGTAGATATCCATATCTACTTGGCAATGCCTTTTAAAACATGGCCGTAAATGATTTAAACAAATAAATATTGACTACTAGGTAAAATGTTTCTCACAGGAGCATCTTTGGTGAGATCTAAATGGAAGAAAGACTTTGCAATAAAAAAAGCGACTCTTTTTTGGAGACCTTCCTTGTCCTGCTCAAGTCATAAGTCCTAGAGCCCCATGCTCTTCTTGGTCACTCCTGTCAGTGGTGAGCTGTGAGACAGGACACTGTGAAAATCAATTACTCTCTAAGCATTGGATCATGTGACCCTCCAATCCAAAGGACCGCCAGCCTGACTCAGGCCAGTCTGACCCACTAGTGGTCTTATGGAATGGAATGGAGGGAAAAAAATGCTGTATAAAATAATCAGTGGAAACTATAAAATCAAGTGTTTCCTCTATCCAACATTTATGTTGCTTCCTTTCACTCCTTCCAGATAAACAAAATCACCGTGATGTTCAGTATAATGACATGAGATAACTGGCTGGCTCTCCACTAACAATTCAGAGTATGGGTTTAGAGTCAGGCTGCCTGTGTTGGAATCCCTCCTCAGCTTGCAAATTGTGGGACCACAAACAAGTTACTTTTCTTACTTAAACCCCAGTTTCCTCATATATAAAATGGTGAGTAAATATATCCTTTGTAGCAACATGGATGCAGCTAGGGGCCATTATCCGAAGTGAATTACACAGGAACAGAAAACCAAATACTACATGTTCTGACTTGTAAGTGGGAGCAAAACACTGGGTACACATGGACATAAATATAGGAACAATAGGCATTGAAAACTACTAGAGGGGCCAGGGAGGGAAGAAGGGCTGAAAAACTCATAGCTGCTATGCTCACTACCTGGATAACAGGATCATTTGCACCCCAAACCTCAGCATCATGAAATATACCCAGATAACAAACCTGCACATGTACCCCTTGAATCTAAAATAAAAGTTGAAAGTATTTTTTTAAATAAAATAAAAATAGCAAGTAAAAGTGAGAAAATGCATAATAAGGTTGGTAGAAGGATAAAATGGGACAATGCATAATGGGTTTCATATAGGGAATGAACTCGACACATTAAAACATTCATGATTACATCATTAGTGCACAGTGTAACAATTTGCTACTAAAAGTATGATAAATTTCGTTGAATAAAAAATTCAGTAGAATGAACACAATTATGAATCCTTTTCTAGCCTGTGCTTTTCCTACAAGTATACATGTAGCTCCAGGGAACATGGCCACAGTATAAATGAACAAGGTGCTTCTTCCTAGAGTATTCACTTTATCCCAAGTGTCAGGAGAGGGAAAATAAATTAACTCATAAGTACCTTTTTAGTTACCCTTATATTAAATTCATAAGAAATGTTTTATGTGGTTGGATATATATTATTTTCCAAATAATACTGAGTAAAAATATCTACAAGTGTACTTTTAAGTCTACAATTTAGAGCTTATATGTATGACTTTAAAAGTTATAATATATGCTTCTTATATTAAATGTCTGGAGGAATGATTCCATTCAAAACAAAGCTTGAAATATTGTGCACATGTTTTTCTCCGTATTTTAAGTTTATAATATTTTAAAATTATACTCATCTTTTTTTAATCCAGTGATAAAAATATAGTGCAACTTCTCTGTCAAATAAATTTTTCCACAGATCATAAGCAATTTTTATTATCATTTTGTCAAAGAAATAACATAAAAAGTAAGGATCCATGTGAATTTTTAAGATAAAACACAAGATATCAAAGCTTCCCCTCTAATACCTGCACGGAATTCCATCTTGTCAGGCATTCAGACAACTTAACTACAAATTAAAAAACAAAAAAACTGATTGCATATTAGTTGTATTTGAGTATATTTAATAGTTAATAAAATGCCACCAAAAGGTCATATAAGACAAGCCACCAGTGTCCGAACTCCACTTTTTTTTTTTTTTTTTTTTTTTTTTTTTTTGAGGCAGAGTCTTGCTCTGTCACCCAAGCTGGAGTGTTGCAGCGCGATCTTGGCTCACTGCAACCTCCGCCTCCCAGGTTCAAGGGATTCTCGTGCCTCAGCCTGCCAAGTAGCTGGGACTACAGGCACGTGCCACCAAGCCTTGCTAATTTTTGTATTTTTAATACAGGCAGGATTTCACCATGTTGGCCAGGCTGGTCTCGAACTCCTGACCTCAAGCAATCCGCCCACCTCAGCCTCCCAAAGTGCTGGAATTACAGGCGTGAGCCACTGCACCTGGCCTCCAAATTCTACTCTTAACCACCCAATGGAAAAATTCAACTTTGAAAAAATGTAAGTCAGATAATGTATGCCAAGTGATACATAGGAAACCCTGTAAAATTTTAGCTGCATTTCCCAGATTCAGTCTTCCCTATTCCCCAATTCAGTGATTAGCTCTTCCTGCAAATGTCAATTTGCAGTTCTACTCTGAGATTTCCACCCAAGAGGAACAAAGCATACGTTCACAGAAACACTTGAACATGAATACTCACAGCAGTTTCATTTGTAATAGCCCAAAACTGAAAACAGCCCAGATGTCCATCAACAGGAAATGGGTAAACAAATTATGATATATTTGCACAATGGAACACTACTCAGCAATAAATAGGAACCAATTGCTTATACAAACATCAATATGGATGAGTCTCATAATACTATGCTGCAAAAATACATTTAGATGGAAGGAATAAGTTCTAATATTCATTGGTACAGTAGGAGAATTAAAGTTAACTATAATTTATCATTTATTTCCAAATAGCTAGAAGAGAAGAATTGTAATATTCCCAACACAAAGGAAAGATAAATGTTTTAGGTGATAGATATCCCAGTTACCTGATTTGATCATTATGCATTATATACATGTATCAAAATATCACATGTACCCCCCAAAATATGTTCAACTATGATATAGCAACAAAAAATACAAAAAAAGAAGATTCTAATGAGTGAAAGGAGAATAGTACATACTGTATGATTCCATTTAAATAAAATCTTGGCACAAACAAGAGGTAAGGATTGCCTGGGAAAAGGTAAGAAGGAACATTCTGAAGTGGTGGCAACGTTCTGTATATTAATAAGGATTTGCATCACATAGAGGTTTGCATTTAGAAAAATTTAACAAATATACACTTAATATTTGTGAATTTCTTTGTATATAAACCTTAGGTCAAAAAATTATAATAAATATATATTGCAGACTAACCACCACGGTACATGTTTTCCTATGTAAAAAACCTGCACATTCTACACATGTATCCCAGAACTTAAAGTAAAACACAATTAAAAAAAAAAACAAAAACAAACAAATAAAAACATATATTGCAGACTGTTTAGGAGGAAGTGTTCTGATGTCTGCAGTTTATTTTGGAATGCATCAAAAGTTAAGATGGATTAAAGGATGAGATCAGTAAAAGAAACTGAATAGATATGTGTTAAAGACAAGTAGAGTAAAACATTAGAAGCAGAATCTAGGCAGTAGGCATATGAGTGTTCATTGTAAAATAAGTTTTTTATAAACTGATTTTATACTGGAAAATGTAGCATGATACAAAACTGAATTGTAAAAACTAACTGGTGAAAAAAGCTTCAGAGTAATTGTTGAAGACAATCCATGAAAGGCATAATTCTTTTTAATCACAGACACACACACACACACACACACGCACAGACACACAGACACACATATATACAGTCTTTTTAGTTATAATTGGAGCTTCACAGCATATTTACAGTACTGTATACTGTGTAATTATTTTCCTCCAGAGACACAATAAAAACAGTTTTTAAAAGTTACAGTGATAATGAAATAAAAATATTTAGAAAAATAATTAGAAAATGTTTAGAAAAACAATTAGAATATTACCACAAGATCTCAATCCCAGAGAAGAGTGATAGGTTCTTTTGTCACCAGAAGTATTCTATAGGAAGAAGAGGATCTGTAAGGAAAAAAGGGAATGCAAAGGTTTTTCCAGATTACATTAACATCTGTTGTTTCTCAGCTCAGATCTGCTGACTTTGAAGTGTACTTTTAACACTTTTTGTCTAAAGTTTACTCTATTGCCTTAGTTCTTGAACTCTGCATCAGAGTCACTGGAAGTATTTGTTGAAAATTCAGATTCTTGTGCCCAGCTCATACCAACTGAATCAAAATCTGAGAAAGGTGGTGTAACTTATTCTTTTTCTTTTCAAAATTCTCATATGTGATTGAGCCAGAATTGAAAACCATGGCTTGAAACCATATCACTATTGGATATTAAATATGCTCTGAAAGTAATGGGCACATAATGAAGACTCACTGGCAATCTACCCACTAACTTGTGCCAACTTCTGAAGAGCTCCAGTGTGTGATCCCCAGTTACCCCTCCCCATCTTTGCTCACATACTTCTGAGTGGTCTCCTGTGTGCTAGGCACAAGCTCCTTAAGTGTAGGCTCATTTTCCAGCTGATTTATAGAGTAAGGCTGATGGTTACATTAGAGGGTAATACAGGATCACTTACGATGTTATTTCTATGGCTCCCAGCCAGGGCTGGTATAATGGGATATGCAGAGCATGCTGTGCATAGGGATCCCCAAAGAGGAAGGGATCCAGACTCTGATCACTGCTTTTATTCATTTAGTAATAAATGAGTTTGTGCATCTATAGTACAGAGGCCAAGTCTCCTTTTTTTTGTGTGTGCTCATTGGAGAATATCCACCCAAAGTTTCCAGACCAGACATGCATGTTGCAGACTCATTTATGATTTAATAGGCACATACCCTCTAATCTTTCATAAAGGTAAAAATTGACCAAGATGTACATTGAAGGGCAATCTTAAACAGGAAAAGGAAAGAAAGATATCACCTGGAAGGCATTTAGGAATAGAGATGGGGATAGAGTCAACCCGAGGCTCATGCATGTAACAATGTCTTTGGTCTGTCACTGGAGAACAATGATCCTTTCTTCTCACTCAACTAGACAATCCACAAGCCTAGTTACCGAAGCTCCTGCTGGGAGTGGGTCTCCTCACTCTGGGAACCTGGAACTACTGTCCCCATTTGCCAAATTGCACTCTGAAGAAAACTTGTTCCCACAGACTAGTAGCCACAGCAAAATGAGTGTTGGAAATGCTGCAGACAACATCCTATTTTGGTTATCACAGTGCTGCTCATCAAATTTATAACTGAAACATACTTTTCTAACAAAAATTATTTAACTTTTCTTAATACATTTCTGAAATGTATTTGCCTAATAATGCCTTTTCACACATAACACATAAATGAAATGCCCTGTAGAAGAATATTTTGGAATTGCTGCCTTGGGGAGGGCTCTGCCTTCTTGTATCTCTTTCTTATCTGCCCAAGACAAGCACCTTACAATACCTTCTGACTGTCCAAAGTCCCAACCAAGATGTTAATCCCACACTCAGGACCCAGCTACCTAATTTTCAGGGTAACCCAATGTAAAGTGAAATTGTAGGGCCCTTTGTTCAAATGTTATTAGGAATTTCAAGATGGCAACAGCACAGCATAAAACCAAGCACAGGATCCCTCTTAGTGTGGGCCCAGTGTGACTGTGCAGGCTACACACTGACAAAGCCACCCAGCCCTTACCTGCCTTCCTCCTCTCACCTTCCTGCTCACCTATTAAAAAGGAAAACAACCTAATTAAGTTAATCGTATGAGCTGAATAAATTAATTATACTAATAGAGGAAAGACCTGTAAGGTTTTACTTGACAATGTACTAAAAAACAAACAGGAAAAAAAAGACTGCTTAAATCCTGGACTAATTTTTAGAAGTAAAGAGAATATGTCTAAGAAGATTGTGGATGGTAAAGCATTTTAAAATCATTTTACAGAATAAAAAACAAGTTTAGTCTAAAATGTGTCTAGTTCAAAGGAGAAAAGGTTTGTAGGTCAAGAAAATACAGCATGGTATCTACTAGTCTCACAAACTCAGGACTTGAGCTAGCTCCTAATACCTAAATAGGATTTGATGAGGACTAGGGGTTAGGGAGGGCACCACAGGCAAGGGACCAACATATATCAAACAGCAGAAAGCTTCTTGGTGGAATTCTCTTGCCACATACAAGGAAGATGAGGCTTCTATTTCCCTTATATACTACTCTGAGGTATATCACGTTCAAATTACTGAAAAGAAAAGAAAAAGAAAAAATCTTGAAGGAACCAGAGAAGAAAAAGACATGTTACATACAGAGGAACAAAGATAAGAATTGTAGCCAACTTCTCATCGGAAACCGTACAAAACAGAAGACAAGGGGGTGACATCTTTAAAGTGCTGGAAATTTTTAAATGCCAACCAGAATTCTACACCCAGCAAAAGTCTCCTTCAAAAATGAAGGAGAAATACTTTCTCAGATAAATAAAAACTGAGGGAAGCCATTGCCTGCATACTTAACTCTATGAGAAGTACTGAAGGAAGTATGATATCTGTCTTAGTCTGTTCAGGCTGCCATAACAAAATACTACAGACTACGTGGCATAAACAACATTGATTTATTTTCTCACCGTTCTGGAGGTTAGAAGTTTGTGATGAGGATGCCGGCATGTTCTGGATCTGGAGAGGTCCATCTCCCTGGCTTGCAGACGGCTGCCTTCTTGCTGTGTCCTCACATGGTAAAGAGAAGAAAGCAGACTCTCTGGGGTCTCTTTTTATAAGACAGCAATCTTACCAGACCAGGGCCCCACCCTCATGATCTGATTACCTCCCAAAGACCCCATCTCCAAATATTATCACATTGGGGGTTAAGGCTTCAACATATGAACTTCATGGGACACGAACATTCAGTCCATAAAAATATCAGACTGAAACCTCAATCTACATTAAAAAACAAAAAGAAAAAAAAGAAAATAGGCCGGGCACGGTGGCTCACACCTGTAATCCCAGGACTTTGGGAGGCCGAGGCGGGTGGATCACGAGGTCAGGAGATCAAGACCATCCTGGCTAACACGGTGAAACCCCGTCTCTACTAAAAATACAAAAAATTAGCCAGGCGTGGTGGCGGGCACCTGTAGTCCCCGATATTCAGGAGGCTGAGGCAGGACAATGGCATGAACCTGGGAGGCGGAGCTTGCAGTGAGCCGAGATCATGCCACTGCCCTCCAGCCTGGGCAACAGAGCTAGACTCCGTCTCAAAAAAAAAAAAAAAAAGAAAATGAAGAGCACTGGAAATAGAATACATGAAGCTCCAGCAGAATGGGGAACATTACCTAGTTTTTCACTGCCAGGTCTCCAATAGTTGGAACAGTATCTAGGATGTGGTCAGAAGTATTTAGAATAAATACTTCTAAATGAGTGAATGAATATCAGAATAAGTGAACATATGCCTGATGAATTGATGTGGATTTTGAGGAATCTAAATGATGATCAGTAGCTCAGTGGTATGATGATAATCTCATTTAGGCAACCAATTTTATACTGGGTCTCATAAAAATTAATTCCCAGAGTTTTTAGTTTCAGATCAGCAGGATTCCATTCTTTTCTAGCATTCTTTTATAGTAAGACAATTTCTCTCACTACAATTGCTTTAGCAATCCTGCTAAATAAGAGCAGAGTTTCATGTAAATATGAAAATGAGCATTCAGATTTAGAAATAATTATGTAGAGCTACACTATAAAAATGCTGAAAGAAGCACAGTTAAATTGTAGAGGAATTGAAAATGAAATATAAAAATATATACATACTCTATGATTCCACTTAAAAAGCAAACTAATCTATAGTAAAACAAATGTGTAAATTAGTTTATTCTGGAAAAATTGACTAGAAAGGGGTGCAAGTGAACTTTTTGGAATGATTTTTTAAATGTCTATATCTTCATAGGAATGCAGGACATCCAGGTGCATGCATTTGTCAAAACTCAGCAAATCGGACTCCAGATTTATGCCTGTGATTGTATACAATTTTTATCCTCAAAATAATTATAAATAAAGATTGAACTCTAGTACATAGGTTTACTTTTGGCAATAGTATGAGTTAAGAATTCTAGCACTAGTTTCTAAGTCTGAATAAATTAGTAAATATTTTGGATAGTGGCAGCCAGGTTTTTCACTGTTGGAGATGAAAGTTACAAATATGGAAAGGGGAAGGCTGCAATAAAAAGCCTATGATGTTGAGTTGGAATTGGAGGTATGAGAAATAACCCAGGATTTCTAACACATAGATGATAAGTAGAAGAGAAATAACTATAAATATGTGTGTGTGCATGTGTGTTTCCTAGCTGTGTACACTGAGAGCTACTTACACTAGAAGTAAATTGCACTCCGGTATTAACACCTGCCAGAGCTTGGTTTTTATTTAGCATTCTCCCCTAAAAAGAACCAAAGCTCTGTGGGAAAAAAAAGATTGATTTCAGGGTTATGGCAGAATAAGTACAAAATGAGCCTGGAACATCTTGTGCGAGAAAATACAAAAGTGTTCCAAAAAAAATGATGGAAACATGCCCAAAAGACACAAAAGCCAGCTTCAGATTTCCACTGACCACATGCAAGACATTTAAAGCAACAAAATAAATAGTGATAGTAATGAATTATGACTCATTGACTAAAATAAGAATCCATGAGTCCATACTGATAAAAATAAATAATTAGTTAGATTAATGGAGGACAAGGGAAAACATTTTCTGACAGTAGAATGCTAATGCATATAAAATAAAGGATGGGTGTTAGAAAATCACTAACGAATGCTAAAATTGGTAAGCAAACCAATTTGATGAAGAGCAAGATATGTACAAAATCTCAAAGCATCTCCCCATAAATTACTTATTAATTATAAAGAAAAAATAGTAACTTTCATTGGAAAAATCTTGCAGACGTCATCTTAAGCAAGTGATAAAGTTTAACAATACTGAAATTGGAACAAATCAACATCATAGGCATCCCAATACAATAATGCACTGAGAAAGACACAACAAACATCACTTCTTTGTTGTTGTTGTTTGTTTGTTTGTTTTGTTTTGTTTTGTTTTGTTTTGTTTTGTTTTGTTTTAAACTGAGTCCCTCTCTGTCGCCCAGGCTGGAGTGCAGTGGCACGTTCTCAGCTCACTGTAACCTCCACTACTGGGTTCAAGCAATTCTCTTGCCTCAGCCTCCCGAGCAGCTGGGATTATAGGCACACACCACCGTGCCCAGCTAATTTTTTTGTATTTTTAGTAGAGACAGTGTTTCACCATGTTAGCCAGGCTGGTCTCAAACTCCTGACCTCAGGTGATCTGCCCGCCTCGGCTTCCCAAAGTGCTGGGATTACAGGCGTGAGTCAGCGTGCCTGGCCCACAACATCACCTATATGGTTTTCTTGCCACACATCTGTAACCCAAATCTAAGCATAAGGAAATATCACACAAGTCAATTGAGCAATATTCTACAAAATAACTGGCCTGTACTATGCAAAATTTCAAAGTCAAAAACACAAAGGCTGAAGAATTGTTCCAGACTGAATGACAGTAAAGAGACATGACAATTAAAAATAATGAGTGATCCTAGACTGATCTTGGAGAATGGACAATATTTGAATATGGACTGTCGATTAAATCATTGTACTGTGTCAATGTTACAACTCTTGATTTTGATCATTATACCGTGGTTATTGTCAGAGGTTTCCTTGTTCAAAGGAAAGACACACTACCACATATAATCTTAAAGGAACATGATGTATCTGAGGTCTTATAACTTACTCTGAAGTGGTGCAGGAAAAAAATTCTATCTATATTTTATATACACACATATATGTATGTAAAATACTCCATTTACCCTGATTTGGTCACTACACATTATATGCCTGTATCACAACAGCACACACTGTGGATGTGGATTAAATCATTGCACTGTGGATTACACACATATATGTATATAATTATATACACAGAATTATAAAGCAAGTGGAGAAAAATATGCGTGTATAAACTTGGCAAATGTGGATAAAAGGTATATAGAAGTTCCTTGTACTATTCTTGTGAATTTTCTGTAAGCTCAAATTATATCAAAATAGAAACCTTTTTTTTTAAAAAAAATGAAAGGGAATATTTAAGGATATAGCAAGAACCTTCAATTCTGAACAATGTCATTAGGATCATGTGACTAATAACATCCAGAATCCCTCACTCAGCTTCATAGAGTGTCAGTATAGAAGGTTGTAAGCTTTTATTTTCCCTGGAAGTCATAAATCTATAATCTTTTTTTGCAAGACAAATATGTAATGAATGTGTAAACTATGCAATAATCCTTCCTTTTAAAACATGTATTTTTAGTTATTATAGGTACATAATAGTTGTATGTATTTGTTGGGTGCATGTGCTGTTTTGATACAGGCATACAATGTGTAATGATCAAATCAGAGCCATTGAGGTGTCTATCACCTCAAGCATTTATCATTTCTCTATGTTAAGAACATTCCAATTCCATTATTTTAGTTATTTTAAAATATACAATAAATTATTGTTAACTGTAGTCACCCTGTTGTGCTACCAAATACTGGATCTTATTCCTTCTATCTAACTGTACTTATTTAATAAGAAGAAATCATTTCTTTCAGACCCTCGGTTACAAACCTTCATGGAAGGAGCAGGATATCTACCATTGTTGAAGACCTACCATGTGGGAGGGAACACAGTAAAGGCTCACGCTGTGGAAACTGTAGACCCAGGTGTGAAGCCCCCTCAGTTCCTTACTATGTAGCATCAACAAGTCACTTAACCTCTCTGATTTCTCATCGATAAAATGGAAATAAGAGTGTCATCTAACTAAGTTGAGTGAAGAGTAAAAATAATATATGTAAGGCTGGGTGCAGTGGCTCACACCCATAATCCCAGAACTCTGGGATCCTGAGGCAGGAGAATTGCTTGAGCTCAGGAGTTCAAGACCAGCTTGGGAAGCATGGTGAAACCCTGCCTGTACAAAAAATTTAAAAATTAGCCAGGAGTGGTGGTGCACACCTGTAGTCCCAGCTACTCAGGAGACTGTGGTAGGAGGATCACCTGAGCCTGGAAAGTTGAGGTTGCAGTGAGCCAAGATCACACCACTGCACTTCAGCCTGGGCGACAGAGCAAGACTCTGTCTCAAAAAAATATGTGTGTGTGTGTGTGTGTGTGTGTGTGTGTGTGTGTGTAAAAAGAGTGGAACAACCATTCCATAAATATAACCAATTTTTTGTGCGAAGAACTTCTCAGCATTATCACATTTAATCTTCACAACAACACTGAGGAAGGTGGCATTATTCTCATTTTTATATTTTAGAAAGCAGACTACTCACAGTTAAATATGTTGCACAATTTGTAAGTAAACCACCCTAGATCCGAACCCCAGTGTGACTGATTCCAAAGTCCATGCTCAGTTTACTGTGCCATACTATCATGCAAAATGCATAGGAACAGGAAAGGCAGTGACAAGATGGTCTCTGGACCAAACTAAGGTCAAAATGACCCTGCAGCTAATAGCTCAAAGAACACTTGTTGATCTTAACCTGAATTTTGAGGATGTCATTTATGTCTTCTTAATAAATGATAGAATAATTTGAAATGACATTTTCATTATTACCTTGAACCATAATGCTAAATGACTGCTTGTGACACGTTGATTACTATGCTCTCATACTTATGGGTCTTTTTTCATCTACCTTCTTCCATTGCTGGTAGTGACATCACCTCCACCACCAACATCACCACCAGCATTGCTGGTATTAAAGAATGTTAGGCCAGGCACGGTGGCTCACGCCTGTAATCCCAGCACTTTGGGAGGCCAAGGCAGGTGGATCACCTGAGGTTGGAAGTTCGAGACCAGCCTGACCAACACGGAGAAACCCCATCTCTACTAAAAATACAAAATTAGCTGGGCACAGTGGAGCATGCCTGTAATCCCAGCTACTAGGGAGGCTGAGACAGGAGAATTGCTTGAACCCGGGAGGCAGGGGTTGCGGTGAGCAGAAATCGGGCCATGGCACTCCAGCCTGGGCAACAAGAGTGAAACTCCGTCTCAAAAATAATAATAATAAAAATAAAAAATAAAAAATAAAAAGAATGTCAATGATGGACCTAGAAATCTTTGTTATCAAGTCAGTCATACTTTGCTTTTAAGGTGAATTACATAGGCTAAAGTTTTGGCCTTAAAAACTCATCAACCAGGAATTAGAAGGTACATTTCAACTCCCGTATTTTAGGAGAATGTTAATACGGTCATTTCACAGATGAGAGAACTCAGCTTCAGTGATTCCAAGTGTTTCTGAAAACCTCATGCTCACAGTTTTCTGAGACTCAAATCTGAAAATCATCAGCCAGGCTAGTGTAAGCTATCTTAATGGCTGTGATTGTAGATGAGGGAGAGAAAAACTTCTAACAAAAATGGGTCACAAACTATCTAGGCTTGTTTTAGTCAGTGATGTAAATTGGCTCCAGACCCACAAACTAAGCCCGTGGAGAAAAAGAAATCAGGCTAAGTGGAAAGATAAATGACCATATGTAGACATATTTTAAATTAAAGTATATTTTAAAGGCATATTGATCTATACATTGCAAGCTTTAGTTGCACAAAATGGAAGAGAAATAAGCATTTGAGAAAGGAAGGGAGGGAGGGAGGAAAGGGAGGAAAGGGTGGTGTCTTCCAAGGCTGTCAGTGCTCACTGATGGCCAGTGTCTCACTTCTAACCGTAAGAAGAGCACAAAGAAATGGTGAAAAATCGCAAATTCCAATATTGTAGGGCTTAATCGTTTTTAACTAATCTGCAGTCGTGACATGCAGCGCAGCTTGAATTCAATTTGCCACCAAATTTGAATGTATAACTCTCTGGAAAAAAAGATAACTAAAGATTACAAAGCTTAGTGTAATCTTGTCTATTCTCATAAAAGCTGTTCAATCAACACTCTTTTTCAAAAGCAATCAAACAAACCTAGTTGATTTCAACCAAAAGAATGAGAGAAATAATATCTGCCCTGCCCCCAGCAATGTGGCTACTGTGATGAGGTAATGACCTTCACACACACATGCGCGCACACACACACACACACACACACACACACTTTTGTTTGAAGACACTGGTTAACTGTAAAGCACTGTCCATGTGAGTTTTAACACTCAGGGAAGTCACTAGTGGTCTGGCCTAGGGCTGTGCACTATGCAACTTTAAGGTGGTGTGTATTGTTGTCGTTATTATCATCAAATGTGATTCGATAAACTCACAACCATGTCATGAAGAGATGCATGTTTCACCCAAACTGCACAGAGAGTACCCACTAGGCCAGCACAGAACAAAGCTCTTTATTCAGAAGTAACTTTCCTGAACAGCAAATCCTTCGCATACCTATGAAGTGCTCAGTAATGTTTGAAAAATAGACCTAAGCTGAAGCACTCCCTGACTCTACATGGAGCTTTCCTCAAACATCTCACCCAC
Organism: Homo sapiens; assembly: GCF_000001405.40. Lineage (NCBI taxonomy): Eukaryota > Metazoa > Chordata > Mammalia > Primates > Hominidae > Homo > Homo sapiens. The sequence continues at coordinate 41,961,530 of NC_000012.12, forward strand.
AAGGCAGCATTATAAGAACAATACAAATAGTAACAGGTACTATTTGTTCACACCAACTATGTAATAAGTTAAACATGCTAATCACTTTGCATCCATCACTTCATCTAATCCCTACAACAAATTTATGAAGACTATACTATCATTATTCCCATTTCACATAGGAGGCAACTGAGGCTCAGATATGTCATTTGACCAAAGGCAAACCACAAATAGTAAGTAACAGAAATGAACTTCCAACCAGATTTCTCTAATTGCAATAACTGTGCTCTTAACCACAGATGAGGTTTTAATGTTCCTATCTCCCCTTCATGTCAGAAAAAGAAATACAATCACAAAGTGGCTAACAAACAGTTAAAAGGATGGCTGACAGTCCCAGGTTCCCTTGCATTTGAAAAACCCAGGTTATTAAATCTGCCTTTTGTAAGTGGGAATTCCACAGGACATCCAAAGCCATGGGTCTCAATTAATGTGCGCTCACAAAAAAGCATCCATGTCCGCAGCCCTCATTGATGGTATATTTATCATGGTTATGAGGTTTAGACTTACACAACTCACTCTGGCTTAATAGTTTCTACTTTTTGCCTATTGCTAATGAAGCAAGATTGTCCCCATTCCACTCTGGAGACAGAAATCCCTGCAGAAGAGAGACACTCACTGAGCTTCTGGCTGCATGCCTTTGAAAATGAATGGACTTTGTAGCTGGCCTTTGAAAGGTCTTGTAGAGAGGCCCCAGGCAGACACTGCCAGAGTATCTGTCTGACCATATCCATTGGATCCCTGAAGGCTTCCCTTCTTGAGAATTCTCTTTTAAAATGCAAAAGTCTTCATTACTGCCAAACAGAATGCTGAACCCTGCTGGTTCCCGCAGAGTTCCAGACTTGGCACCCGGCCATTGGATTCACAGCACCTGCCAGAGCCTCTTCCATCCAACCATATTCCTGGCCAGGCTCCCTGGCCGACCCAGGCCTGTTGCTGCCCAACCAGGACCTGGCAGGACTTGCTCCCTCATTATACGTGCTCTCTCCACTGGCTCACTTCCTTCGGCCTTCAAATACTGTGGAACCATGAGATTTGTCAACACCAGGATACTTCTGAGCATGAAAGGGGACACCATATTGACAACACCGTGGGACAAAGACATAAATCTGCAAACCTAGATCTAGTCACCCCATCAAATACCCATAGGACTTCCCTATCTTAAAATTACAGTCAAGTCTGGTGTCTTTTCTAGAGATTCACCCAATTTTTTCCTCTATCTTCTCTAGCAAAATTCTAGAATGAGTCATCTACAAATATGGCCTCCATGTACTCATCACCCACTCCTCTCTAATCTCCAATCAATTAATTTTCTGCTGCCACCATTCAGGTGAACTGACTTTATATACTCAATCAAACCTTTCTCTTAGTCGTTTTTCTCCAGAACTCTCTATCTGGTTCTACTCAATCCTTCCATGCCCCAGTCTTTAGCTTCCTCAAGATCTCACAGTCTCATCTGTTCTTTGATTATTCCCTACTGTAAATGACAAATACCTTTAAATATTTGGAAAAACCTGTCTTTTCTATGTTAAATCTCAGTTGTCCTTCATTTAGCACAATTTTTGCAGTCCTCTCATCCTGGCCACTTCCTCTGGCTGAGCTCTGGTTCTTCAATATTCTCCTTGAAATGTTTCATCAAGAAACTCAAGCTCACTTCACCCCACTCCACCTCTCTCTACAAATACAGACTCATATAGTTGTAGCTTTGTTGGCAGCCTTTTTACCGTGGTGGCTTCTACCGTGGACACCATCAACAATATCTCCTGGGTCCTCATTTATGAATTCTTACTAATTTGCTTGCTTCCATCTTGACCTTGTGCAGTGAATTATTTTTTTCCTTTGTCAACCCAAATATAGGATTTTACATTTATCCCTGTTACATTTCAACGTCTTAATTTCAATCCTATTTCACAGCCTGTCAAGACCCTTTTGAGCTTTAATGCTGTCATCTATCATGTTAACCCTTCTTTCTATTGAGTTGTCTACAAATTTGATAAGCATCTCTTACATGATTTTCTCTTTTCTGTGCCAATTTCAGCTTAGAGACAGCTGATTTTTCAAACATACGTGTTAAAGACCTTTTCACTGCCTCTCAGCTGCTCTATATGTCACCAGTTCTCACCTCCCCAATCTAGGTTATTATTCCTGTCACTTGAAACAGTGGTTATCAGACTTTAGTGGACATCAACATTACCTGTCACATTTGTTAGAATGCATATTCCCAGGCCCAAGCTCCAGCAATTCTGATTCAGTAGATTGGAGAAGACTCTAAGAATAAGTGCCTTTAACAAGCACTCCAGGGATCAACAAATAATCTGCACAGTGATATTTAAACACTTCTTTAGGACTGCAAACTTCTGCTTTTTTGGAATCTGTGTGTGTGTGTGTGTGTGTGTGTGTGTGTGTGTGTGTCAGAGAGAGACAGAGAGAGAGTGAGAGACAGAGAGAGAGAGAGAAAGGTAGGTGACAGGGGTAGGGATGAGTTATATTTTCTAACTACCTTCTCAGCTCTCAAATGTCTTTTAAAGGAATCGAACATAATGTCACCCTACCTGTATTCAGCTACTCTTCCTTCACATTTTCTAGGCAAATTCACATTGTAAGTAAATGGCACCAAAAAAGCTCTTTAAAGGACCAGACATTCAATTTGAAATTATTTAATACAGTGAACATAATCAAATGTCTTCTTAATGGTCTTAAATGTAAATGGATTATTTTGGGTCTTCATGTACACGTCTTTAACCTCAGGTTTATAAAACAACTGTTCCAGTCATACATTTATGAAATGTTTCATCTTAATTGTTCAAAAGAATTTCAAATATTTCTGTGTCATATTTTTAGTTTATCTCATCTTATTTATTTATTTTAACTCAGCATTATTGTATTGGTTTTTAACCTCATGGGTTTCATTTGTCTTTAATCTTTTTACACTCAGCTCTTTAAAAATACTTTATTTTAAAATGTATCACAGTGATAGTTACCTTATTTTATTTTTAAATTTTTTAGCTTTAAGACTGTGTTGCCTTCTTTAATTAAGTTCTTTCCTTTTCTTCAACCATCATTATTCTCGTTTTCTGTCATCTGTTTTTGGTCTCTTACTTTCACGGTGCCTGACAAAAAAAAAATGTGGGTCATAGAAATGCCCCAAATGTAAAAAATCCCCAAGACAACTGGGAAAGCATCAAAGCTGCCTACCCACCTTTGTACCTGCTCCTCTGGCTTCTCCTAATTCTTCATCCCAAAGACTCAAGACACTCACAAGAAATCCCACATTAGGGACCTTCAAATAATCTCCCTAGAATATCTTACATATATATTTTTGCTATTAATTTGTTAAAGAAAGTCTGTTAAAACTACTAGTATTAGGATGTACATGCTTCAAACTGATTTTGTTTTGGTTTTTCTCAAACTTTTTAACTACCTTGATGCAAAGTCAGATCATTCAGTAAAATGATCCATTCAGCATGCATTAATTGATTCATTAAGCCCATGTGGAAAGAGAGAGAGAGATGATGGCAGTTGCCATTTATTTATCTACAACATGGCATACTCTGTGATAAGTGCTTTATATATAGGACCCAACTGATCTTCACAAAAATTCTGCAATGAAGGTATTAGTATCCTTATTTTACAGATGGACAGCCAATACTTCCCTGCTCCTTCTACCACTGCACACAGCCCTTCAGCCAGGTGGATCATTGTGGAGAGATGGAAATGCTGGTTGTGAAGGACACTGTGATGCTGGAGGACTTATTCTTGGAGCTGCTGGAATAGCTGCTGCCACCTGACCTCTCTGAGATTTGCTCTTCAGCTTGAAAAGACCCCATATCCCAAGGTCATACCCCTTCCCATGGCCAGGTCATATTCCATAACTCATCCCCCAAGGTGGGGAGGGAGTGCAAGGGCCACCTTCTTTGCCCAAACCCAGGACAACTCTGAGGGGACCTCCCAGCTGCAGAGCTCTCACGGGACTGGCTGAAGACTTCTTGTGACTGTGATACTGCCAACTTGGCATCTACCTGTTCTGCTTCCTCCTTCCGCGCTCCTCCCCTCCACCTAATGGATCCTGAGGGCAAGTTTCCTTATCAGTCTCCTTCTTGGAGAACCTGACCTACAACATTAGTTTTGTGGTGAAACAGAGCAATTTTTATTTATGCCTCCTCTTGAACAAAAGAAGATCAAAGGCAGTTATCACGGCTATGTAAAACATAACCGGTTAGCACAGCTGAAGTGGCAGAGAAAGGAAAAAGAAACAAAAAAAAAAAAGGAAAGGAAAGGAAATGACGTAAAATTGAACCAGATATGTGGCTAACACAAAAATGAATCCATTAGTTCTGCCAGAAATTTGGCTCTTTTTTTGCCAATGCAAAGAAAAAGTAAACTCTTCAATTCTACAATTCACAGTAACCTTAGGTCGTTTGGTTAAATACACAGTTGCTCAGGAGAAACTAAGACCAGAGAGAATTACCTTCTGAGAATTCACACAAAGATATTCATGGCCTCACGTTAGATGCACATGTGAATTTTACTGAGACATATGCCTAACTGGTAGGGTGACCAACTGCCCAAGTTTGTCCTGGACTAGGACACTTCCTGACGTGGGACTTTCAATTCAAAACCAGAACTGCCTGGAGCTACTGTTTAGGACAGTTGGTTACCCTGGTGATGGCACAACTCCAACATCAAATCAGTAGAAAGCAAGTTTCCAGGGGACAATAGGAATCAGTCTAGGTACACAGATTTCTGCTGCTCTAGCTTAATCCAGGCATCATTTTGGGTTGTCTAGAGGAGTGTTTAAACTGCATGGCCTCCACACAACAATATTCCCCCTCCATGAATATTGTGGAGCTCCCCTGAGCTTTTGAGAGATAATGCATACAAGCAGTGAGTTTAATGTTGTACTCCCCAACAACAACAAAAAATAACCAAAGTACAGTTATTTTATTCTGTTAATTCAATAAAAATCCTCATGCTTGGGCAGGCAGTTGAGCTAGGAATAGAGTTAACATTCTTAGGTGAAAATTGAAAAGCCTGACAAGCACGGAAAGGTGATTTCACCTCCACTTGGCCGTGAGCTACGGAAGCATTTTGGGGCAGGAATAAAATTCTCCTTTGAAATGAATACTGAATCTTCTCTATTGCATAAATGCATGCCCTTAAGTTAAAATATTCCACAACAAAAAATTGGGTCACCACAATTTTTAGCCTGGAAAAACTAGAAACTGAAGAAAAGGCAGTGGTTACCCCAAAAAAATCAATCACAATAAAACACCTATGGAAAAATTAACTCTGCTACTTTTAAGTATACCTGCTATGATAAACTATTTGAGCAATTACCAAAAAAGTAACTGAATAATTGCCCACAACTGGCATCTCATTAAAATGAGAGACTTCCGTATATCCATCATCTATTCTATAACTAAAATAATCATCCACTAGTTTATAATGCTGACTTGTTTCTAATGGACTGGGCCTAACAGTTGCCGTCAATAATCTTGACTTAGAAGTTCCAGTATAGCAGCTGTCTCTCAGCAAATAACCTTTGGAAGTCATTTAACAAATAAATATTCCCACTTCCTGAGTGATCTAATCAGCAGTCATATGGATTTTCTTTTCCAGTTAAGTTCTAGTTGTCAATTGTAATTTCTAAAAGAAACTAGAAGGAAGTTAGAAACAAAGATGGTAATTATCCAGCCAGTTTGGGTTTTGTATATGGTGGCATGCTCTTCAGATGTGTTCCATAATATTTACTATTCCATTGACAAAATTTCCAGATGATTTCTAACATCCTTTTTTTAGGTTCTACCGTATAGACAGCCATAAGTAAACCTGAAATAAAGACATTCTATGTTGTCAGACCTGCAAAGCCTACTCTTCAGTGGTAGTGACAATTGTCACCTGGATTCAGAAAGAGATCAGTAGAGGTATAGTCAGTTTTATTTTTTAAAACCATTATTTTCTCCATCCTTACTAGAGGAATTGGTTGAAGTCTCTACAGAGTGAGATTAAGAAAATTACGCTGAAGAGACTTTCCTGTGTATAAGTTGTACTTTTCCAGGGAGACACTGACTCTTACTTACAAGGCATCTCTGGCTTTTACCTTAAAAAGCTGGGTCCCTGACGTATTTCAGAGAGCTTCTGAGCCGTAGCAATGGCCCCAGAAGCTTTCCAGCTCTGAAGAGCCTTGTTTGTGTTTCTTCATCATCTTATTCACCAGCTAATTTCCAACTCTCTGTTTCATTTTATGCAGTGTCGATCCAGTGCAGGACGGACAGAATAGCTGGGTGCCCTCGGAACCACTCAATGAGGCCACACAGCAAGGCATTATGTTTCCCTTCCCTTTGACTCCTTCTCGGTCCCCTACCTGCTTCATAGCTACCTAAATTCCATTACATGCCATCTGGCTATTTGCCACCGCCGCTTTAGTCATTAAACAGAAGGGAAAGAGCACCCTTGGCTGCACAATGAAGTTATCCATTTCCTCAGTTCAGCACACAGGCAGGCTTTTCTTCCTTCTGAATACCTAGTTTTATCTGTGACTAAGAGGTCTGAAATTTTACTACTCAACCCACTAACTTTTGCATTGCATCAAAGGGAAGGTCAGTAATCTTCTTGACAGAAGATTTAAAACATAAGGAGCTTAGCATTCGGGTCTAGGAACTTAACCCTGGTGCCCTCCCAGTGCGCTGCTAATGGAGCTCGATTTCAGTTTCCAGCTGGCTTTTCAAAAAAGCTGATGAGGCCAGAACGGCTCCTCCACTCTCCCCCTCCCACCCCACCCCGCTGTGACTAGGCCTTTTACACACCTCCAAACAAGACAAACGAGCAAGCTCTTCCTGGTGAAATGCAGGACTGCAGCAGGCATCCCAGCTCAGTTTTGTGAACTCTTGAATCAGAGTAATTTCCAAATACATCACTGTCAGTACACACTTTGAGCCTGCCATCAAGGAGCCCAGAAATTGGATTGCCACCTTATTCCTTTCTAAAGGTGAAACAAGCCCTTTAAAAAAAATGAGTATATTTTATTATATTGTTTCACATGAATAAATGAATTATATGTAAGCATTTTTCACACTTTAAAGAACATAATGTTTCTGTTTCTAAAATGTACATGCATACATTTGTTTAAAAATAGCTGCCTTCATTATCATAATGATTTTTTCCTCCTGTGTTCAAGAGCTCAGGGAATTAGTGGTAAATGTAAATGTAATCAAGGGCACCACCATGCTTTTAATTTGGCAAATAAAAACCATTTATATCTCCCATCATTGTGGCAGGATGAGTCAGTTCTATTACCAAAAGAAGCTTAGAAGTAATGTGATTTCCATCTGACTTTTTTTTTCATGTTTATGTCTTGGCTGACTAAAAATCTTGCTCTTAATTTCACATGTTGGAGTATAGTTATGAGGAAATGAAATATTATTGGTACTAACTTTCTGGGAGACAGTCTGGCAAAATACATCAAAAACATAAAAATGTGACTATCCTTTGACCCAGAAACCCCACTTCTTTAAATTTACCCTAATACAGTGGTACTCATGGGAAAAGATGCATGTTCACTGTGTGGCTCTTTACAAAGCACAAAAAAAAAAAAAAAAGAAAATATCTTAAACATCTAATAAAAGGCAACTCGTTGAATATATTATGGTATGCAAATAAAATTTAAAACTACTATTTAGGGTGGTGTGTGGAGACACAGGAGGAGAAAAATTAAAAAATAAAAAACAAGACAACTATTTATAATAATTGTGTGACTAGGATATTTGAAATATTGTTAAATATGAGTATATAGAATTTATAAAAAAAATTATTCATTCAACAAAGATTCATCCAATACTAAGTGACAAATATTACTCTATAGCAGAGGTCAGAAAATGTTTTCCGGCCAGGTGCAGTGGCTCACGCCTGTAATCCCAGCACTTTGGGAGGCCAAGGCAGGCTTGAGGGCCTCAGGATTACCTGAGGTCAGGAGTTCAAGACCAGCCTGGCCAACATGGTGAAACCCTGTCTCCACTAAAAATACAAAAATTAGCCAGGCGTGGTGGCATGTGCCTGTAATCCCAGCTACTTGGGAGGCTGAGGCAGAAGAATCACTTGAACCCGGGAGGTGGAGGTTGTAGTGAGCTGAGATCACGCCACTGCCCTCCAGCCTGGGTGACAGAATGAGGCCCTATCTCAGAAAAAAAAAAACAAAAACAAAAACAAAAAAAAAACAGAAAATAATGTTTTCCATGGAAGTCCACATAGTAAATACTTTAGGCTTTGTAGGCCACAAGGCCCCTATGCAGCTGCTCAACCCTGCCACTGTCATATGAAAACAGCCATTGGTGATGTGTAAATAAATGGGTGCACCTATGTTCCAACAAAGCTTTACTCACAAAATCTAGGCTGCTGGATGCATTCAGCTCCTGGTGGTTAATTTGCTGACCTCTGTTCTGGACAAGTGAAATATACAAGTGAAACAAAACATGCAAAAAGCTCTGACTCGATGGATCTTACATTCTATAGCTATCTATGTATCTGTGTGCATATACGAATAATATGACTAAATGGATGTTCACTGATCATTGATTAAGCAAATCTCTGGAGATTGTGCCAGACACTATGCTGTAATTGGTTAGTGATTCAGTGGTTAAACAAAAGAGACTTGGTCCCTGCCCTCAGAAAGCTCATGATATGATAAAGAAAACAGACAAGAAAGTAAATAAAAAGAATAAAGTTTGTTAAAATTGATAAGAAATAGAATTATTAACATGGTTATCTCTGGATACTGAAATATTTAATGAGTGCATCTTTATTCTTTTTTACTGTATCTATTGTTTGATGTTTTTATAATAAGTATGTATTACCATTTGAAACAATGACATTAGTCTCAAAAAGTTGTCAGCAATGAAAAGGATAAAAGCTTAATTTGTATTTTCTTTTGAACAAGTAATCCTGATGAATATAGAACAGTAGATGATCTCTATATTTTTTATTGTAATTTGTTTTCTCTTTGAAACTATCTAGAATAAAAAGTCTTACTCTTCTCTAAATAAATAACAAAACTCCTTTCTTTGGTATATGGATGAGGGTCTTAGGGACTGAAGAACTCTCATTCTTCTCCATTCACTTACTAATTTCAACTATAAAACAAAGTGCTTAAGGAAGTATAGGAGAACAGTTATCCCAAAGGTTGGTAACACTTTGAGGTTACTGCCCCCTCTAAAAAATTTTTTTTTGTTTTTATTTTGAAAGGGAAGTCTGCAGTATAAAATGGGGTTTTACCCAAAGAGAGGTCTGGCCCTTGCCCTCAGCTTCTGGGAAGTCATCTGTGTCATACCCAGTGGCCACACCTAACAGTCTTAGTTTGGAGGCTGGCCATGCCAACAAGACCAACCACGTGATTTAAGGGGCAGCATTGGGTCATATTGTGTCAGTCCACCTGGTGACTGACTTCAACCACATGGGCTCATGTGAGCTTCCCTGGTTGGCAATACTCCATGTATATTGACACACATTGATACTAGGCGGGCAATACATGCTGAGGACAACAAAACCTTCATGATTGGAACCCCCAAACTCTGCCCTATAGGTCTCTTTCTTTGGCTGATTTTAACCTGTATCCTTTCCTGTAATAAACCATAACCACGAGTATTGTCAGTTTCAGTGAGTGCTGTGAGACTTTCTAGTGAATTATGGAATCAGGGGATGGTTTAGGGAACCCCCTAAACTTGCAGTTGGCATCAGATGTGAGGGTGGTCCTGTGGAGAACTCAGACCTTCCAGTTTGACTAACTCCCTATCGGGAGCATTAGGAGGACACAGAAGAGAACTTGTTGGTGTAACTTCTGCTCTCCATTTGCCGGGAGACTTTATGCTTCTTTCATCCACTGCTTCCTCTGAATTTCAAATATCATTCATCATGTTTTGCAGAAGGAATAACTATATAGAACTTGCAGATTTTACAAATATGCACAAATGTCCTAAAGAAAGGTATATCTTTAGGGCACATTTACAAATATTTTCATACTTTACATGTAACTATGCCTTAGAAAAATTTATATGCAATCTTCTTCTAAGATATCAGAAGCAAATAAGGATACAAAACTCAAGTCAGTGCATTTCCTTAATGTAAAGAATGCAAATTTTGCCAAAATATCGGGCTAACAGGTCTTTTTTGTGAGTCAGAAAAAACCGTGTTTCATTTATTTTGATTTGTTCCTTTAAAAAAAGTTTTCTAGAACCTCGGGATTTATATACATTCCTTTTTATTCTTCAAGAGACACAAAGACTACATCTTTGTGAAAGTTTAAATGTGTGTTCATGTTTGCCTTCTCAATGATGGACATCCTGAGTACAGTCAGTAACTTCCACTGAACGTTTCTTGGGGGCAACCTTGGGCTTTTCATAATGGCAGTCTCTAGTCCATTCATCTTTTAGGTATGAAAACCTGAGACAATCCTTAAAGCTTAAACTATCATCTCCTTAGAAATTACCCTAGTGGCTCTGCCAGTCAGATGTGGGTGTATCACAAATCCTAGGTCACCCAGCCCATAATTTCTTTAATATCAAAAAATAAACCAGGAAAATTAACATTGTGAACCTCCATCAATAATTTAGGCTGGAATGCAAAAGTATTTCAACTGCATAAGTCATCTGTTATTCACTTTAAAGGCCTGAATGCAGGATAGACTTCACCTCTAAAAACTGAGTCTAGTTCTGAGCTTGTCCTTGATGCCAAGTTCCAGGGCCTCGCACTTGAAAAGATCAGGTGCAATTCAATTATGAAGTCGTATCTGACTTTTTGAAGTGTAAATCTACTGCACTTGAAAATGGCAAGTGTAAAATCCATTCTTAAAAAGCACTTGACATTTTCACATACAGCTTTACAGCCATGGAAATATGAGGCGGCTCACAAGAGATGGCCAAGAGTAGCTTAAAAAAAAAAAGAGAGAAGGAAAAAAGAAAAAAGGTTTTAATGCTTGGTCAAGAGCAGAAATCTGATTTTTAGCTCTTTGTTTTGACTAGGAAATTAGAACTTTTTTTAAAGCTCTGCTTTGTAAAACTCATCTCTATGAGCTGATTTTTTTTCTAGTAATGTTTAACTTCCGGTTTATATGCCTGATAGTGCATGCCTTTTCTCTTCATGAGGACTTTGTAGCTTATCTCACTGTCTTTATTCTGTACTTACAGGCTGAAGTCATCATATACATAAGGGGTTAGCAAACTTTGTCTGAAAAAGACCAGACAGTAAATATTTTTGGTTTTGTGGGCCATATGGTCTCCGTCAACTCTGCTGTTGTATCATGAAAGCAGCCATAGACAATATGTAAACAAATGAGCTTGGCTGTCTTTCAATAAAACTTTATCTGTGAACACAGAAATTTAAGTTTTATATAATGCTCATGTGCCATAAAATATTACTATTCTTTTGATTGTTCTTCAACCATTTTTTTAAAAAATAAAAGCCATTCTTGGTTGGCGGGCTTTATAAAAACTGACAGTGGGCTGGATTTGATGCCCAGGCCACAGTTTGCCAACTCTGATACAGATGGCAAAAATAATTTGACAAAATAAAGCATAAATGACAATGTATATGTTCTGAAGTTTTTATTTTTTTATTTTATTATTATTATACTTTAAGTTTTAGGGTACATGTGCACAATGTGCAGGTTAGTTATATATGTATACATGTGCCATGCTGGTGTGCTGCACCCATTAACTCGTCATTTAGCATTAGATGTATCTCCTAATGCTATCCCTCCCCACTCTCCCACCCCACAACAGTCCCCAGAGTGTGATGTTCCCCTTCCTGTGTCCATGTGTTCCCATTGTTCAATTCCCACCTATGAGTGAGAACATGCGGTGTTTGGTTTTTTGTCCTTGTGATAGTTTACTGAGAATGATGATTTCCAATTTCATCCATGTCCCTACAAAGGACATGAACTCATCGTTTTTTATGCCTGCATAGTATTCCATGGTGTATATGTGCCACATTTTCTTAATCCAGTCTATCATTGTTGGACATTTGGGTTGGTTCCAAGTCTTTGCTACTGTGAATAGTGCCACAATAAACATACGTGTGCATGTGTCTTTATAGCAGCATGATTTATAATCCTTTGGTTATAAACCCAGTAATGGGATGGCTGGGTCAAATGGTACTTCTAGTTCTAGATCCCTGAGGAATCGCCACACTGACTTCCACAATGCTTGAACTAGTTTACAGTCCCACCAACAGTGTAAAAGTGTTCCTATTTCTCCACATCCTCTCCAGCACCTGTTGTTTCCTGACTTTTTAATGATTGCCATTCTAACTGCTGTGAGATGGTATCTCGTTGTGGTTTTGATTTGCATTTCTCTGATGGCAAGTGATGGTGAGCATTTTTTCATGTGTTTTTTGTCTGCATAAATGTCTTCTTTTGAGAAGTGTCTGTTCATATCCTTTGCCTACTTTTTGATGGGGTTGTTTGTTTTTTTCTTGTAAATTTGTTTGAGTTCATTGTAGATTCTGGATATTAGCCCTTTGTCAGATGAGTAAGTTGCAAAAATTTTCTCCCATGTTGTAGGTTGCCTGTTCACTCTGATGGTAGTTTCTTTTGCTGTGCAGAAGCTCTTTAGTTTAATTAGATCCCATTTGTCTATTTTGGCTTTTGTTGCCATTGCTTTTGGTGTTTTAGACATGAAGTCCTTGCCCATGCCTATGTCCTGAATGGTATTGCCTAGGTTTTCTTCTAGGGTTTTTATGGTTTTAGGTCTAACATTTAAGTCTTTAATCCATTTTGAATTAATTTTCGTATAAGGTGTAAGGAAGGGATCCAGTTTCAGCTTTCTACATATGGTGAGCCAGTTTTCCCAGCACCATTTATTAAATAGGGAATCCTTTCCCCATTGCTTGTTTTTCTCAGGTTTGTCAAAGATCAGATAGTTGTAGATATGCGGCGTTATTTCTGAGGGCTCTGTTCTGTTCCATTGATCTATATCTCTGTTTTGGTACCAGTACCATGCTGTTTTGGTTACTGTAGCCTTGTAGCATAGTTTGAAGTCAGGTAGCGTGATGCCTCCAGCTTTGTTCTTTTGGCTTAGGATTGACTTGGCGAAGTGGGCTCTTTTTTGGTTCCATATGAACTTTAAAGTAGTTTTTTCCAATTCTGTGAAGAAAGTCATTGGTAGCTTGATGGGGATGGCATTGAATCTATAAATTACCCTGGGCAGTATGGCCATTTTCATGATATTGATTCTTCCTACCCATGAGCATGGAATGTTCTTCCATTTGTTTGTATCCTTTTTTATTTCATTGAGCAGTGGTTTGTAGTTCTCCTTGAAGAGGTCCTTCACGTCCCTTGTAAGTTGGATTCCTAGGTATTTTGTTCTCTTGGAAGCAATTGTGAATGGGAGTTCACTCATGATTTGGCCCTCTGTTTGTCTGTTATTGGTGTATAAGAATGCTTGTGATTTTTGTACATTGATTTTGTATCCTGAGACTTTGCTGAAGTTGCTTATCAGCTTAAGGAGATTTTGGGCTGAGACAACGGGGTTTTCTAGATATATAATCATGTCATCTACAAACAGGGACAATTTGACTTCCTCTTTTCCTAATTGAATACCCTTTATTTCCTTCTCCTGCCTGATTGCCCTGGCCAGAACTTCCAACACTATGTTGAATAGGAGTGGTGAGAGAGGGCATCCCTGTCTTGTGCCAGTTTTCAAAGGGAATGCTTCCAGTTTTTGCCCATTCAGTATGATATTGGCTGTGGGTTTGTCATAGATAGCCCTTATTATTTTGAGATATGACCCATCAATACCTAATTTATTGAGACTTTTTAGCATGAAGAGTTGTTGAATTTTGTCAAAGGCCTTTTCTGCATCTATTGAGATAATCATGTGGTTTTTGTCTTTGGTTCTGTTTATATGCTGGATTACATTTATTGATTTGTGTATATTGAACCAGCCTTGCATCCCAGGGATGAAGCCCACTTGAACATGGTAGATAAGCTTTTTGATGTGCTGCTGGATTCGGTTTGCCAGTATTTTATTGAGGATTTTTGCATCTATGTTCATCAAGGATATTGGTCTAAAATTCTCTTTTTTGGTTGTGTCTCTGCCCAGCTTTAGTATCAGGATGATGCTGGCCTCATAAAATGAGTTAGAGAGGACTCCCTCTTTTTCTATTGATTGGAATAGTTTCAGAAGGAATGGTACCGGTTCCTCCTTGTACCTCTGGTAGAATTTGACTGTGAATCCATCTGGTCCTGGACTCTTTTTGGTTAGTAAGCTATTGATTGTTGCCACAATTTCAGAGCCTGTTATTGGTGTATTCTGAGATTCAACTTCTTCCTGGTTTAGTCTTGGGAGGGTGTATGTGTCGAAGAATTTATCCATTTCTTCCAGATTTTCTAGTTTATTTGCGTAGAGGTGTTTGTAATATTCTCTGATGGTAGTTTGTATTTCTGTGGGATTGGTGGTGATATCCCCTTTATCATTTTTTTATTGTGTCTATTTGATTCTTCTCTCTTTTTTCTTTATTAGTCTTGCTAGCGGTCTATCAATTTTGTTGATCCTTTCAAAAAACCAGCTCCTGGATTCATTAATTTTTTGAAGGGTTTTTTGTGTCTCTATTTCCTTCAGTTCTGCTCTGATTTTAGTTATTTTTTGCCTTCTGCTAGCTTTTGAATGTGTTTGCTCTTGCTTTTCTAGTTCTTTTAATTGTGATGTTAGGGTATCAATTTTGGATCTTTCCTGCTTTCTCTTGTGGGCATTTAGTGGTATAAATTTCCCTCTACATATTGCTTTGAATGTGTCCCAGAGATTCTGGTATGTTGTGTCTTTGTTCTCATTGGTTTCAAAGAACATCTTTATTTCTGCCTTCATTTCAATATGTACCCAGTAGTCATTTAGGAGCAGGTTGTTCAGTTTCCATGTAGTTGAGCAGTTTTGAGTGAGTTTCTTAATCCTGAGTTCTAGTTTGATTGCACTGTGGTCTGAGAGATAGTTTGTTATAATTTCTGTTCTTTTACATTTGCTAAGGAGAGCTTTACTTCCAACTATGTGGTCAATTTTGGAATAGGTGTGGTGTGGTGCTGAACAAAATGTATATTCTGTTGATTTGGGGTGGAGAGTTCTGTAGATGTCTATTAGGTCCACTTGGTGCAGAGCTGAGTTCAATTCTTGGGTATCCTTGTTAACTTTCAGTCTCGTTGATCTGTCTAATGTTGACAGTGGGGTGTTGAAGTCTCCCATTATTATTGTGTGGAAGTCTAAGTCTCTTTGTAGGTCACTCAGGACTTGCTTTATGAATCTGGGTGCTCCTGTATTGGGTGCATATATATTTAGGATAGTTAGCTCTTCTTGTTGAATTGATCCCTTTACCATTATGTAATGGCCTTCTTTGTCTCTTTTGATCTTTGTTGGTTTAAAGTCTGTTTTATCAGAGACTAGGATTGCAACCCCTGCCTTTTTTTGTTTTCCATTTGCTTGGTAGATCTTCCTCCATCCTTTTATTTTGAGCCTATGTGTGTCTCTGCACGTGAGATGGGTTTCCTGAATACAGCACACTGATGAGTCTTGACTCTTTATCCAATTTGCCAGTCTGTGTCTTTTAATTGGAGCATTTAGTCCATTTACATTTAAAGTTAATATTGTTATGTGTGAATTTGATCCAGTCATTATGATGTTACCTGTTTCTTTTGCTCGTTAGTTGATGCAGTTTCTTCCTAGTCTCGATGGTCTTTACATTTTGGCATTATTTTGCAGCAGCTGGTACCGGTTGTTCCTTTCCATGTTTAGTGCTTCCTTCAGGAGCTCTTTTAGGGCAGGCCTGGTGGTGACAAAATCTCTCAGCATTTGCCTGTCTGTAAAGTATTTTATTTCTCCTTCAGTTATGAAGCTTAGTTTGGCTGGATATGAAATTCTGGGTTGAAAATTCTTTTCTTTAAGAATGTTGAATATTGGCCCCCACTCTCTTCTGGCTTGTAGAGTTTCTGCCGAGAGATCCACTGTTAGTCTGATGGGCTTCCCTTTGTGGGTAACCCGACCTTTCTCTCTGGCTGCCCTTAACATTTTTTCCTTCATTTCAACTTTGGTGAATCTGACAATTATGTGTCTTGGAGTTGCTCTTCTCGAGGAGTATCTTTGTGGCGTTCTCTGTATTTCCTGAATCTGAATGTTGGCCTGCCTTGCTAGATTGGGGAAGTTCTCCTGGATAACATCCTGCAGAGTGTTTTCCAACTTGGTTGGAAAACTTGGTCTCCCCGTCACTTTCAGGTACATCAATCAGACGTAGATTTGGTCTTTTCACATAGTCCCATATTTCTTGGAGGCTTTGTTTGTTTCTTTTTATTCTTTTTTCTCTAAACTTCCCTTCTCACTTCATTTCATTCATTTGATCTTCCATCACTGATACCCTTTCTTCCAGTTGATCGCATCGGCTCCTGAGGCTTCTGCATTCTTCACGTAGTTCTCAAGCCTTGGCTTTCAGCTCCATCAGCTCCTTTAAGCACTTCTCTGTATTGGTTATTCTAGTTACACATTCGTCTAAATTTTTTTTCAAAGTTTTCAACTTCTTTGCCTTTGGTTTGAATTTCCGCCCATAGCTCGGAGTAGTTTGATCATCTGAAGCCTTCTTCTCTCAACTCGTCAAAGTCATTCTCCATCCAGCTTTGCTCCATTGCTGGTGAGGAACTGCGTTCCTTTGGAGGAGGAGAGGTGCTCTGCTTTTTAGAGTTTCCAGTTTTTCTGCTCTGTTTTTTTTTTCCCATCTTTATGTTTTTAGCTACCTTTGGTCTTTTATGATGGTGACATACAGATGGGTTTTTGGTGTGGATGCCCTTTCTGTTTGTTAGTTTTCCTTCTACCAGACAGGACCCTCAGCTGCAGGTCTGTTGGAGTTTGCTAGAAGTCCACTCCAGACCCTGTTTGCCTGGGTACCAGCAGCGGTGGCTGCAGAACAGTGGATTTTCATGAACCGCGAATGCTGCTGTCTGATCGTTCCTCTGGAAGTTTTGTCTCAGAGGAGTACCCGGCCGTGTGAGGTGTCAGTCTGCCCCTACTGGGGGTGCCTCCCAGTTAGGCTGCTCGGGGTTCAGGGGTCAAGGACCCACTTGAGGAGGCAGTCTGCCCGTTCTCAGATCTCCAGCTGCATACTGGGAGAAACACTGCTCTCTTCAAAGCTGTCAGACAGGGACATTTAAGTCTGCAGAGGTTACTGCTGTCTTTTTGTTTGTCTGTGCCCTGCCCCCAGAGGTGGAGCCTAAAGAGGCAGGCAGGCCTTCTTGAGCTGTGGTGGGCTCCACCAAGTTCGAGCTTCCCGGCTGCTTTGTTTACCTAAGCGAGCCTCGGCAATGGCGGGTGCCCCTTCCCCAGCCTCACTGCCGCCTTGCAGTTTGATCTCAGACTGCTGTGCTAGCAATCAGCGAGACTCCGTGGGCGTAGGACCCTCCAAGCCAGGTGCGGGATATAATCTCCTGGTGCGCTGTTTTTTAAGCCCATCCGAAAAGCGCAGTATTGGGGTGGGAGTGACCCGATTTTCCAGGTGCTGTCTGTCACCCCTTTCTTTGACTAGGAAAGGGAACTCCCTGACCCCTTGCACTTCCCGAGTGAGGCAATGCCTCACCCTGCTTCGGCTCGCACACGGTGCGCTGCACCCACTGTCCTGTGCCCACTGTCTGGCACTCCCTAGTGAGATGAACCTTGTACCTCAGATGGAAATGCAGAAATCACCCATCTTCTGCGTCGCTCACGCTGGGAGCTGTAGACCGGAGCTATTCCTATTTGGCCATCTTGGCTGCCCTCCCCCCATGTTCTGAAGTTTTACACAATTCTGTGAAAAGGATCTACTGGGGATCCTCAATATCTCTGAGCACCAATAAGCCAACAAGTCCGCTTGATCCTATCAGTGGTTCAACAGGAAGTCAGAGAATCAGTGCTCCAGTCTTCCCTGATGCTCACTGGGCTGCAGCACCTCCACCCAGGAGATGCAGCCTCATCCAAGATCCATACACCAGCAGCATCAGCATCATCTGAGAGAGAGTTAAAAATGCAAGAAAATCAGCCTCTGTCCCCAAACTTTCAGAATCACAATCCACATTTTAGTGAAAGAAGCCAGAATATGAAAGGTCAAGTACTGTATGGCTTTATTTATCTGAAGCATCAAGACCAGGCAAATCCATGGCAACAGAAAGCAGACGGGTGGTGGTCAGGAGCTGAGGGCAAGGGAGGAATGAGGAGTGACTGCTTGATGGATGCAGAGATTCCTTGAAGGAAAAAATGTCTTGGAACTAAATAGAGGTGATGGTTGCACAACACTGTAAATATATTAAATGCCACTGAGTTGTGCACTTTAAAATGGTTAATGATTAATTTTATGTTATGTGAATTTTACCTCCATAAAAAAATACCAAAAAAATCTATACCTTAAGATCCGCAGGTGATTCATACGCACATTGAAGTTTGAGAAGCAATCTCCCTACTAGATAAAGTATCAGGGATTTTCAGTCTGGCTTACAGAAACACTGATTTTCACTATAAAGTAGCAAAACTCCACTCATTGATACTAAAGCATCTAGTATTACAACATTAATGATAATCTAAAATATTGTGGAGACATTGTCTTAAATTTTTGGCATAGAAAATGTTAAAATTGCCTCACTTTTTACACTCTTTTTTCCCAAATTTTTCTACATATTCAATAGGGAAATTGCTAATGACAATAAGCCATCAATTGTGCTTCATTCATTAAATTTGAGTTTGTGCAATTTGTTCGTTGTTCTGAAAACTGTTCCCTAGCACCACCTATTTCTTCCTATTGCTTATTCAACTATAACATTCTTTGAATTTTTTTAGCTTTCACAGATTAACTCTCCAGAAGACATGTTACCCTGCTTGATATTCAGTATATATTTTCTGGTGACAGCTTTATGGTACAATTAAATTTCATACATTTTTTTCAGCCTTCCCTGAATATGCATTAGAAAGCCAACCATCATAATTCTAAGCCAATTGGCTTGATTTGCTTATTTAAGCCCACATCTAACAGGCCTGCTATATTTCCATACATTCCATCCCCATCTGCACTCCATCCACCTGCCCAAAGTTATTGATCATGCTGACAGTGAAGGAAACCACAGGGCCTTGACAGTCAAAATATAATTTCCATTAGAAAGCCCTTTAAAAAGTACTCAGGACTTTAAGATGCCAAACGGTATAGTGATGTCAGTTTAAACCAGGTCACAGAAGAAGCTGAAAATTGATTATCAACAGCAGACTGGACCTGCGCATTTCAAAAGTGTTATCAGCATTTAGAATAAGAAATTGTTAACACAACTTGGCATATGAGAAAAAAAACCCTGATGTTTAGATGGACTGAGTAACTTAATAAGGCTCATTTGGATGCAAAAATAAATGAGCATCAAGTTAACATTAACTTTTAATGCTTGCCATTTTATGTTAATTCATATTTTTAAATTATGGCTGATACTTTGCAATCAGTCTATGGCTAATTATATCTCCCACATGTAAATCTGATGGAGTGCTGGGACCAAAGAACAACAAAAAATATCCAACAAAGACTTTATAGATTCAGAACTGTCGCGTGCCTCTGTTAACTGGGAAAATCCAGCCTGCACAGAAAACCTCAAGCTCTGAACTTCAGTCACCATTGTTTTCCAAAGATCAAAGCTTAGCTTGCTTAACCATGAAAACCATATTGATGTATCCTGTTTGCAGATGTTTTTCCTGATGTTTTTCCTTGTAACTGATAGCTCTATCCTAAGACACAAGATTTAGGTGCTGAGTAGATGCAGACTGGACTTGTAGGAAATCTCCAAGCTAAAAATCATCTAAATAAAAAGGAATCAGGAGTCAAATACATTCTTTCACCTAAGAGTCTACATGCTTTTCAACTCCAGACACAAGGATTCTTCCAGTAACAAAAAGGATATCCAGATCCAGTTCTTTTCGTGAGGATGTATTCTAATGTACAGTCTTATCAGAAGCTTAGATTTTAGGAAAACAAAAAATAACAACTACCATTTAAAGAGAGTCTACCCTGAGCCAGCCACTTTGTAAATGCTGTTTTTCTTATTCTTCACAATAACCCCTCATGAGAAAACTGAAAGTCATCTGATCAAAGTTACAAAGCTAGTAAATGATCAAAGGAGAGTTTTCTAATTTAGGAGTTAAGTAGGTCTGGGTTGTTCAAATCCAGATGCATATAACAAATATTTATGTGTTCACTAATCACTACTGTAAGAATCCAACTTCTGTGTTCCATGAATGAAGACACTAAGGTCCAGAGAGGTTAAGCAACTTGTCTGAGTTTACACAGCCAAACTAGTGCCAAATCCGGGACCAGAGCCCAGATCTTCTCTCTGCTCAGCCATCATTTGTCCTCCACCTCAGGGCACAGATCTTTAAAGTACATGTGAGTCACTTGGGGATCTAGTTACAATGTAGGTTCTGATTCAATAGGCCTGGGAGGGGCCTGAAATTCTGAATTTCTACCAAACAAATAAAGTGACTATAGGGCCCAGGACCAATGCTGCACACCACACTCCCATCATCACTGGTAGAAATCAGAGACCTGGAGATGTGTTTCAGGATTTCAATTGGGAGAAATGATTATGTAAAATAATGTTTATGCACCACTAGAGTGACAAACTCCTCCCAATTTGCCTGGAATTTTTCCCAGTTTTAGCATTGAAAGTCCCACCTCCCGGGAAATCCCTCAATCCCTCAATCCCTGGCTAACTGGGATAGTCAATCACTGTATCCTCAATTGCTTTACATGCCATGTGTTAGTTAACACAGCATTAAATGTGGAAGAAAATATGCAACATGAGTTAGGAAGAGAGGAGGCAAAGAGTGAGAGGGCTTAAGAGACCGAAGGCAAGGTCGGCTGCATGAGTGTACATTGGTACAATTGCGCAGAGACCTGAACTCAGAAGGGCTCAAGGCTCCTTTAATGCTCTGCTACTGCTGTCTTGAAATTTGTAATGCTTTCATTGAGATATAATTTACATACCATAAAAATCACCCTTTAAAGTGTGTAATTCGTCTTTTTTTTACATATATTCACAAGGTTGTGCAACTATCACCACTATCTTATTTCAGAACCTTTTCATCACTCCAGATGGAAATCTTGCACCCATTAGCAGTCACTCCCCACTCCCCCATTCCCCCCAGACCCTGGAAACCGCTCATCTATTTTAGGCCTCTATAGATTTGCCAATTTGGGGGCATTTCACATAAAGGTAATCTCACAATATGTGGCCATTTGTATCTGGTTTCTGTCACTTAGCATAACGTTTTCAGGCGTCAAATGCCTTGTAGCATGTATCAGCATTTCATCATTACCTTTTGTTGCTGAATAATATTCCATTGTATGGATAAAATGTATAAAATATCCCGTTGCATAGCTATACTACATTGTGTTTGTTCATTCATCAGTTAATGGACATGAGGTTGTTTGTACTTTTTGGCTATTATAAATAATGATGTTATGAACATCCATGTATAGGTTTTTGTGTAAACATGTTTTCAATTCTCTCAGGTCTATACCTAGGAGTAGAATTGCTGGATCATATGGTAACTCAGTTTAAATTTTAAGGAACTGCCAGATTCTTTTCCAAAGTGGCCACATCATTTTGCATTCCAACGAGCACTGTATGAGGGCATGAAATTCTTAATAATCTTTGAACAAGGGGCCCCTCATTTTTCATTTAACCCTGGACCCAGCAAGTTAGGTAGCTGAGCTAAATAACTATAAAAGGAAGTACAAGCACCTCTGCCCCCAGGAGCCACAGTCCCTCCTTGTTTTCTACAGAGACACAAAAAAGCTGGGGTATGGGACAAACAGGAAGAAACCCACCCATTTCTGACATATCTATCAGATACCCTGGAGGAACTAAGTCAAGGTTATTCTCAGAGGAGACCTACTAAGATTTCAATTCACCCACTGCACTAAGCCTCCCCTGCTTCCCCACCCCACCCAAGCCTTTCCCTCTCTCACTCCTTCAGCTTGGATTCCTTCAAGTGCAAAGGAAACAAGTCTTTCATTATTCATTCAACCACCATCTGTGATTTGCCTGCCAGGAACTGAGCTAGATGCTTGGGCTGCTGCAGTGAGCAACTCAGAGCCCAAGGATTCATAAAGCTTGTATTTATAAAAGGCTTGAATTCAAAGGACTTGTTTGGTTTACCACATCAATTAAAATTCGTTCACATTAAATTAACATTCTGTGTATTAATCAACAAATACAATGGATACAAAACCAATTTCTGATGGAAAAAAAAAAAGGTATGGAGTTCCTTAAGCCAGAAAGAGGGCAGCCTGTTAAAGGGTAACAGAAAGTAAAAGGTAGAGAAACAGAACTTTGAAACATTTTATAAATTTGCCAAGGGGTAGCCCTGTTTGCTTACATCTGGGCAGGGCTAAAAGCCACTCTGCTCAGTTTTTTTTGTCTTGCCAATGCCTAGAGGCAGTTCTGCCTGGCTTGATTTATGAAGGAGATTGGAGCATATTTATTTCAACACTGCCTCTTTCCCTGAGGATTTGTTAATTGAGGTATCACCTTTCAAGAATCATTGAGTAAAACTAATATGTTACATTGTATGTTTCTGATTTCCACCAGAGCAATTATTTCACAATGTGTATGAAAGGGAAGACCTCACTCCTGAGTATGTCAAATAGAAAGCAGCTCATTCAGGACCAAACTAGAAGTTGATTTCCCTAATTTACACACCGGAATTAGACTTTGTTTCATTTCTTTATCTTATTTCTAGAAATGAAATTATAAATTTCTTCTGACAGGTTGGCACAGATTATTTTTAAGTGCTCATAGTTCAGTTATCTTTGGGTTGTCTTTGGCCAGCATTCAGCAGAAGTCCATCAAATAACTTTGTAACACCCAAGATTGTACACTTAACCATTTTTAATATTTTAAGACAGTCACTTCGTATCTAGAAAGATTATAAAATAACCTAGTAATAAGTTTCTTGGACTCACAGAAATTTGGGTAAGTGAAAATGGTGGCCCTTAGGTATTTTTATGTTTCTAAAAGTCCAACAAAAATCAAATGATACATCTGCACAAGTGCCAACAACAACAACAAAAAGTTTATCTGCTTTTGGCGGCAATTGTACCAACTCACATTCATCAGACATCTGATTGACAATCACATGTTGTTATTTAATAAAATAAATATTATTTTTCGCTTAATAAAGACATTTTGTAGACAAAGTATTTTAAAGCCTGAGTACATGAGAGAAGTGTCAATTAAGAAACAGGTCCTTGGTATTGAAAAGTCTGGAGAAACCTAGAATAGATGATAAGACATCACAAAATTCTGTTCCTTTTGCACCCATTGCTTTTGAATGCAAAGCTATTTAGCAGGTTGTATTTCTACTTTCTTATCCCTGCACACAGGTCTCCCTCCACCCCATCACTCCCACCTATGAACTAAAACAAAACACACCAGAGAAGTGGGATTTTCAGGGCAGCTTCTCTTTGCAAATTAAACAATCAAAGTGACTTGTTGCCTGTCATCCCAGCCACCTGAGAACCTGAGACAGGAAGATTGCTTGAACCCAGGAGTTCAAGGCTGCAGTGAGCTACGATCACGCCACTGTATTCCCCACTGGGCAACAGAGTGAGATCCTGTCTCAAAACAAAAATTACTAGCATTGTTGGTATATTTTTGTGGCAACACCAGCCTAGAGTTAATCTTTGGATATTAGTGACGATCATTTTCTCTCTGCTCACTGGAGGGGCTTTTACCCAGCATGAAAGCCCACTAAAATCCACATGGGCATCCCTGCTCCAGAGAAGGTTTGAACAAGGACATCTCTGGTTAACATACCCCTTATGTATTCATTTGTTTGAAGAACAACCAGCTTATTCAATATCATGAAAATGGCCATACTGCCCAAAATACTTCATAGATTCAATGCTATCCCCATCAAACTACCATTGACATTCTTCACAGAATTAGAAAAAACTACTGTAAATTTCATATGGAACCAAAAAGAGAGCCCACATAGCCAAGACAATCCTAAGCAAAAAGGAAAAAAGCTGGAGGCATCACGCTACCTGACTTCAAACTATACTATAAGGCTACAGTAACGAAAACAGCATTGTACTGGTACCAAAACAGATATATATATAGACCAACGGAACAGAACAGAGGCCTCAGAAATAACGCCAAACAACTACAACCATCTGATTTTTGACAAGCCTGACAAAAAACAAGCAATGGGGAAAGGATTTCCTATTTAATAAATGGTGCTGGGAAAACTGGCTAGCCATATGCAGAAAACTGAAACTGGACCCCTTCCTTACACCTTATACAAAAATCAACTCAAGATGGATTAAAGATTTAAATGTAAGACCTAAAACCATAAAAACCCTAGAAGAAAACCTAGGCAATACCATTCAGGACAAAGGCATGGGCAAACACTTCATGACTAAAACACCAAAAGCAATGGCAACAAAAGTCAAAATTAACAAATGAGAGATCTAATTAAACTAAAGAGCTTCTGCACAGCAAAAGAAACTATCATCAGAGTGAACAGGCAACCTACAGAATGGGAGAGAAATCTTGCAGTCTATCCATCTGACAAAGGGCTAATATCCAGAATATACAAAGAACTTAAACAAATTTACAAGAAAAAAACAAACAACCCCATCAAAAAGTGGGCAAAGGATATGAACAGACACTTCTCAAAAGAAGACATTTATGCAGCCAAACAAACATATGAAAAAAAGCTCATCATCACTGGTCATTAGAGAAATGCAAATCAAAACCACAATGAGATACCATCTCACACCAGTTAGAATGGTGATCATTAAAAAGTCAGGAAACAACAGATGCTGGAGAGGATGTGGAGAAATAGGAACACTTTTACATTGTTGGAAGGAGTGTAAATTAGTTCAACCATTGTGGAAGACAGTGTGGCGATTCCTCAAGGATCTAGAACCAGAAATACCATTTGACTCAGCAATCCCATTACTGGGTATATACCCAAAGGATTATAAATCATTCTACTATAAAGACATATGCACATGCATGTTTATTCCGGCACTATTCACAATAGCAAAGACTTGGAACCAACCCAAATGCCCATCAATGATAGACTGGATAAAGAAAATGTGGCACGTATACACCATGGAATACTATGCAGGCATAAAAAAGGATGAGTTCATGTCCTTTGTAGGGACATGGATGAAGCTGGAAACCATCATTCTCAGCAGACTAACACAAGAACAGAAAACCAAACACCACATATTCTCACTTATAAGTGGAAGTTGAACAGTGAGAACACATGGACACAGGGAAGGGAACATCACACATGGAGCCTGTTGGAGGGTGGGGGCCTAGGAGAGGGATAGCATTAGAAGAAATACCTAATGTAGATGATGGGTTGATGGGTGCAGCAAACCACCATAGCACATGTATACCTATGTAACAAACCTGCACATTCTGCACATGTACCCCAGGACTTAAAGTACAATATAAATAAATAAATATTTTTTAAAAACTTCCTGAACGGAGTCTTTACCAAAAGACTTCCATCATTTGTTAGAAGTGAATTCTAGATCAAACCCAGTGTTACTCAAAATTAAATGTGAATGTGTATAGCAAAGTCAAAGAGAGATAGGAAAAAGGCAGGGATTGCCCATTCCCCCCACATAGAAGGCAAGTGAGCAATAGTTTCTTGTACTCTCTTTTAGTCAAGAGTGGATATAATCATAATGACAATAACAATAATGCACAAAACAAGTATTTCATTAATACTTTCTTTCCAAAAAAAAAAAAAATGAAATGCTTCATAGGATTCTCCACAAGCTAGGGTCGGCATCTCACAGGGGGACTTAAGCTAGCATAAACAAACTCACATGGTTAGCCTTGTCTGGACTGTGTTGGGAGTAAAACAGCTCTCCTCCATCCCAAGCAGGGGGACTCTGGCATATGTAGCTTCAGATACTGCAGAGCCAAACAGAATAGAACAAAATGGATGCTGTTTTTTGTACATTCTGTTTATTTCAGCTAGTAAATATACTTACTATGAGCCATAAATACATGTTATTCACATCCTACATTTTTAAAATTTTTTTCTTTATTCCATAGGCAATGAAAAGCCATGAAAATTTTCTGAACAAGCAAATGACATTGTCGAACTTGTGCGTAGGAAGACAACTCTGGTGGCTGTGGGAAGGATAAACAGGATGATGGAGAGACTGAGGGGTAGCCAGATAAGGAGCTCCTTGCTAAAGATGGTGCCAGGCCAAACCAGGGTAAAGACAGAATGCTCAAGGGGGTGATAGATAAAAGAAACATTGCAAAGAATAAAAATCTCTAGCAGTTAGCTCCAAAGCTGTTCAGTAACTTGTGTTTCTACTTTCTTAGCCCTGTTCACAGGTCTCCCTCCACCTCATCACTCCCACCTATGAACTCAAACCAAACACATCAGAGGGATGGGAGAGGGAGAAGCAGAAATGATGCTGAAAAACCAGCTAGAGGAGAAAGACATGTATGGATAAGCTCTAAAGTAAGAAGACATTCTGGGGTGATTTTACAGATGCCTGTGAACCCCTGCCCATGTGCTCCAGTGAATGGTGACTGACCATATGACCTGCTCAAATGGCTGGCTGTTACCTGCCTCCAGCCAAAAGGGGAGAAGAAAGCCCATGGGTACAGCACAGTAGAAAAAGCACAATGTTGGAGTTAATTGCCTGGGGTTTGAATACCTGTATCCACCCTTCTCTCCCCATCTCTGTGTGATCTGGGGCAAGCTATAATCCTCTCTGAGCCAGTGCTTCCTTGTCTGAAAATAAGGATAATACTCTCATTAGGATTGCTATGAAAATAGTCATATGCAGAACTGGCATTCCTCAGGGGCCTCATAATTAGTAATGGTTATTATCAGCCACACAAATGTTTCTGTACTGGGGCTCAGAGACAATGCATGACTTTTCCAGGTTTGCACAATATTATCATTATAAAACCAGAACTCCAAGTCATGGTGTCTATAGTATTTTTCCCCTAAGGCTGTACTTCCAAAAAAAACCAGGGACGAGAGACACTTCCTCCTACATAGCTTCATGTTCTCTGTGTCCTCTGCATACTTTCTTTTGAGATCCTGAACAATGTCCAAGGCAAACCACTAAAGACTTTCATTCCCACTATCAAACACTTTTTTGCTTCTACGGTGTCATTTCCTTTAGCCCATGTTAAACTTTTTGAATGACATAATTTACAGCATTGTTTTATGTACCTATTGTGACACAACAAACTGCCTCAGAAGTTACTAACTTGAAACAACAATTTGTTATTTTTCTCAATTCGGTACCTTGGCTGGGCTCAGGTGGATGGTTCTTCTGTTTCACATGGCATCAGCTGGGATCACCCTTGCAGCTGCCTTTAGCTGGGAGCTCAGCTGGAAAGTCCAAGATGGCTTCACTCATACATGTGGTGAGTCTGTGGGTGTGACTGGGATAGCTGGGCACTGTCTTGGCTTCTCTCTCTACATATCTTTCAGCTGTCTTGCTCAGTCTTCTTTACATAGCAGCTGGCTCCCAAGAAGTGAAGCAGAAGTTGCCAGGCCCAGGCTCAGAAATCCAGAAGGTCACCTTCACTGCATTCTGTTGGTCCAAGCAAGTCACAAGGTCAGGCCAGGTGCAAAGAGAGGAAAATAGAGCATATCTTTGGATGCGGACATCCTTCCACAAGGATAGGGAGAAATTGTTGGGAGGAAGTATTGGTGACCGTCTTTGAAAGTACCCACCAGAAATATTATTTGTAAAATCTGGGTTTCAGAGTCCATAGAAAACTACTCAATTATGACTTTTTAGAAAATATCTCATCCATTCACAAACAAAAGTTATTTTGTGTAAACATTCTAACAACTTTTACCCTTGATTTCCTCGGAAACATTTATTTGAGGATTGTAGTAGATTGGATAATGACCTTCAAAAAGACATCCAAACCCCTAGAATCTGTGAATGTGACCTTATTCGGAAAAAGAGTGAAGATGTAATTAAGAATCTTGAGAGAAGATCTAACTAGATTACCCAGGTGGATCCTAAACCCAACGACTAGTGTCCTAATAAGAGACAAAGAAGGAGAAAACACATAGAGGAGAGGTAACATGAAGATGGAGGCAGAGGCTGGAGTGATGCGGCCTTACATCAAGGAAGCCAGTGAATGCCTGGGGCCACTGGAAGCTGAAAAGGCAAAAATGGATTCTCCCTTACAGCCCCCAGAGGAAGTATGGTCCTGCCAACACCTTGATCCAAGACTTCTGTCCTCCAGCACTTTAAGAGAATACATTGCTGTTGTTTCAGGCCACCCAGTTTTCTGTAATTTGTTATGGCAGCCATGAGAAACTCATACAAGTACCTTCCCTCTTTACGATTAAGACTAAATGTTTGCCTACCATTTGGGGATTGTGATTTATAAGGCAATGGCTGTGACTCTTGGCTCCTATTTCTCCACACACTCAGCAGAGTTATCGAGTAAGGGCTTTACCAGAAAACTCACCTCTGTGGAGGTCCTGAGCCAATCCTGACAGGAACACATAAGATGTTAGAAGTCTCTGCCTCGCCAGATCCTTCTGAAAACATCTTGCTGCTCACAGTTACCTGAGCCACAGCCCCTCCCTACATCACCTTCGCTCATTCCTGGGTGGACTCAAGCTTTGGGATCAGACAGAGTTGAAGTTGCAACAGGATAACATACATGTAAATTCTCAGAGCTCTTGCTTCTTTCTCAGTAAAATGGAATGATATCACCTTCCTCACAGATCTACTTCAAAAATTAAAATTAAGTAAACCATCTGGCACATAGTAGGACCTCAAGAAATGGTGCCCATTATCACTACTACTTTTAAGCGGTACACAGTTGCTTATCTGTTTCATATACCTGATGCTCAGTGGGGCTGGAGCCATACTCTAAACCCCAATCTGATTAGCAAAGCCTCTGACCCCTTTCCTAACCTTTGCCAGCTAATTTGCCCCTCCCAAATCAGCTGCCCTCCATGACCCTCTGGCCTCAGCCTCCCAGGTAGCTGGAACTACAGGGATGCACTATCAAGTCTGGCTAATTTTTGTATTTTTAGTAGAGAGAGGGTTTCACCATGTTGCCCAGGCTGGTCTAGAACTCCTGGGCTCAAGTGATCCTCCTGCCTCAGCCTCTCAAAATGCTGGGATTACAGCCATAAACCACCATGCCCGGCCCGGCTTCTGATTCCGACCTTCCCCTTCACACAGGTTTTACTCTCCAACAAACTTTTCACACTCCTAACTCCAGCTCCTCCTCACTGGACCCAGCTGACATCTACCCTACCACAGTGGTTCTCAAAAATATGTAGTCCCAAAACCAGCAAGCATCATCAGCATCACCTGGGAACCTATTAAAAATGCAGATCTCAGACCCTAACCCTAATCCAGACCTACTGACTCAGAAACTCTGAGGTGGTCAGGCCCAGCATCTGTATGTATGTAACAAGCCCTCTAGGAGACTCTGACGCACGCATTCTAAGAACTGCAGCCCTACTATATTTCAGTAAGAGTTCACATTACCTGATTGCCTCTGCAGTAAATGAATCACCTGCCTGGGGTTCTGTAAGAGATGCTGCTACCCACCTCTGCAGACCACTCAAATAAAGAGGACTACATCGTTTGCTGGGCAGCAAGACCTTGCCAAAACCCAAGGCTGCTTTCTTTTTATTATTATTATTATTATACTTTAAGTTCTAGGGTACATGTGCACAACGTGCAGGTTTGTGACATATGTATACATGTGCCATGTTGGTGTGCTGCACCCAGTAACTCGTCATTTACATTAGGTATACCTCCTAATGCTTTCCCTCCCCCCTCCCCCACCCCACAACAGGCCCCGGTGTGTGATGTTCCCCTTCCTGTGTCCAAGTGTTGACACACTGGATAGGCCCAGTTTCTGTCTCTCCAAACCCAGACTCTCACCCGCCTAGCCACTCCACTGGAAGTAATGGAATCAATGCAGTAAAGTTAACAGCAAGGTCAAAATCAGAGTTTGAACTGTAAAGGTACAATATCTGACATTTATTTTGCCAACTGCTTTCTATAGCATCTCAAGTGTTTAACAAATAATACCTTCTAATATTTAATTTTTCAGGGCTCATGGTGTATTTGATGCTTCATAGGATGTGGATTCAGAGATCAATTTTATCCTGCTCTTAAATTCTGCATTTATCTTGCCAGGACCCCGTGAGCTAGGCTGTAAAAGCAAACCATGTTGACAAAATTCGGAGCCTACTGTAAGCACCCAACCGCTGGGGTATTCCTTGCACTGACCCACCCTGGAGCCAATCCTCAGCCTCTTTGGCCCCTCCTTGAAATAGTTCAAATAGATTCTGTTATTAAAGCTTCCTCCTTAATTACTGACATATGTGCAATTCAGGTTACTTTCTTGCAATTATGTTATTCAGCAATAATTGGATTTCTAGTTTTAATTGGACCCTAAATTAGCAATAGCTTTCATGAACACCATTACAGTGATTTCTAGCTATAGTTTTTGCTGCTTTTTGAGTACATTATATTTCAAACAGAATGAATCACCAGGAAAAGAAGTCACAGCTGCAGTGAACTCTTGCATGGGTTCCTATTAATGATTAAGAGTTGGGTGCTATTCTGTTGTAACTAAACATTTGCTACAACTATTACCCACTGAGCATTGCTGTGTCACAAGGCTGCCTCCTGCCCAGGATGAGAGCACATAATTGTGTTGGGATGAAGATCCAGCCACATGACTAGATATTTACTCAGCTAAACGGGGAAGAGAATCTTTTTCTTACCACCTGCTACTGCAGATAAACACTTGAAAATAAAACAAAAGAAAACCAAACTCTTCTTAAAAGCTGCTGAAATCAAAATTTTGCTGAAACTACCAAAAGCATAATCCCATTGCTATCTTCCTTTCCTAAAGGGACTATTTACTCAAATCAGTGCAACAAATATTTGCTGAGCATTGGCAATGTGCTGGTTATTGAAAAGGATGCTAAGCTAGTAAGAGACAACATAGTGATGTGGTTAAGAGCATGAGATTTGGAGTCAGGCCTCCTGGGTTAGAATTACAGCTCTGCTGCTTCTTGGCGGTATGACCTCCAGCAAATTACTTACTCTCTCCGTGGTTCTTTTTCCTTATTTGACAAATATACCGCAAAGTTCTTGTGTGGATTAAATGACTTCCTACATGTAAAGGACTTTTTAAAGCACCTGGCACATGGTAAGCACTTACTAATGCTCATTTTATTATTCTAGTTCAAGGTAACAAAGACGTCATCTGTCTTGTCCATCACTGTATTCCCTAGCCTCCAGAATAGTGACTGATTGATAGATGATAAGTGCTCAAGAGATGTCTTTTGTCTAATAGGGAAGCCCAACACTACAGGAAGTGCCCAAAGAAGGGGGGAATTTAAAGAAGAGAGGAATTAGATCTAGTTTGGGAGTGTATCAGTCAGGATCTTGGCAGGAAACAGAGCACATTCAAAGGGGATGATTAAAGAGCATTTCATGAAATAGCTACTTAAAAAGTTATGGGGGCAGATTAAGAGAAACAAACAAAAATGGTGAAGGATCACAGAGTCAGCAAGAACAGAGAACTATTACCACCCATCTTAGTCCATTTTCATGCTGCTATAAAGAACTGCAGTATTCTGGGTATTTTACAAAGGACAGAGGTTTAACTGACTCACAGTTCTGCATGGCTGGGAGGCCTCAGGAAACTTACAATCATGGTGGAAGGGGAAGCAAACATGTTCTTCACGTGATGGCAGGAAGGAGAAGTGTCTAGCAAAGAGGGAAAAGCCCTTTATAAAACCATCAGATCTCATGAGAACTCACTCACTATCATGAGAACAGCAGCATGGGGGTAATAGTCCCCATGATTCAATTACCTCCCACCAGCTTCCTCCCACAACATGTGGGGATTATGGGAACTACAGTTCAAAGTGAGATTAGGGTGGGGACATAGCCAAACCATATCACAGCCTCAGACTCACAGGGGCCCAAAAGAGCTGTGGAGAGAGCTCCTGACAGGAGCAATGGCCTTCAGCAACGAGTACAGTCTCTGCTGACCTCCAGCCACACAGGAGGGGAGCCAGGGGAATCAAGACCCTGACCTCTCTCTCATGTCCTCTGATCTTGTCCTGTTGGCCAAACCCAATGGGAAGCAATATATGTGATTCTTTATTTTTGCATTAAA
Organism: Homo sapiens; assembly: GCF_000001405.40. Classification (NCBI taxonomy): domain Eukaryota; kingdom Metazoa; phylum Chordata; class Mammalia; order Primates; family Hominidae; genus Homo; species Homo sapiens. Next base: position 41,993,781 of record NC_000012.12, read on the forward strand.
TAATAAAATCTAGACACAGGTATAGTAATGACCATAAATTTGAAGTGGAAATAAGTGAAAATGCTATTTTTATACATCTGCTAAACCAATAATGTAATATGGAAAAAAATCCATGGTTTTTATGGCCAAACAAAGTTTCTTGGGGTTTGTTGCCTATATTTATAGTTGAAGAAAATGCTAAATTTCAGCTAGAAGTTAATGAAAATAAAGATGTAGGGTTTTTGTCTCCTCCAAGTTCACGCACTCCTTGAATTAAGTACCCCTGGCCTAGTCCTGTTATGCCTGTTTTCATCTTCCCAATAGGCAGAGGCTACTGAAGGCAAAATTTACAGGGCTTTCCTAGAGGAGTGTTGATTCAGAAGGCCATTACTTTCCTCTTGAAGGGAGACTATGGTTGAGCTAATTAGATTTGTGGAGACTTTTCTGTGTCCCTGTAAAGCCTAATACATAGTATGAGTGAGGTGGTCATGGATAACTTATGAAGACCATCTCATTAGCCTATAATCATTGCTCATAACATTTATGTATTCAGCAAATATGTACTGAGCATCTACTATGTGTCAGACACTGTTCTAGATACTAGGGATACATCAGTGGACAAAAGAGATTTTTTAAAAAATTCCTTGCTCTCATGAAGCTTAGATTGTAGTTGGGGTGAGGGGGTGAAGGTTCAGACAACAAACAAAAATAAATAATATAAATGGTATCATATGTAAAGAGGTGACAAGTACTCTGAAAAAATATATAGAACATTTTAGGAAGTATAGAGGACCATGGGGAGGGTTGTAATTTTAAATGAGGTAATCAGAGTAAAATTTATTATTAATAAGAATGTGAAGTTTGGCCATGCATGGTGGCTCATGACTGTAATCCCAGCACTTTGGGAGGCCAAGGTGGGTAGATTGCTTGAGTCCAGGAGTTCAAGACCAGCCTGAACAACAGGGAAAAATTCCATCTCTACAAAAAATTAGCCGGGTGTGGTGGCACACACACCTGTACTCCCAGCCACTCAGAGGCTGAGGTGGATCACTTGAAGCCCAGGAGGTGGAGGTTGCAGTGAGTCATGATTGTGCCACTGCACTCCAGCCTGGGCAACAGAGAGAGACCCTCTCTCAAAAAAAAAAGCCAGGCGCAGTGGCTCACACCTGTAATCTCAGCACTTTGGGAGGCCAAGGTGAGGTGGGCAGGTCACCTGAGGTCAGGAGTTTGAGACCAGCCTGACCAACATGGAGAAATCCCGTCTTTACTAAAAATACAAAATTAGCCAGGCATGGTGGTGCATGCCTGTAATCCCAGCTACTTGGGAGGCTGAGGCAGGAGAATCACTTGAACCCAGGAGGCGGAGGTTGCAGTGAGCCAAGATTACACCATTGCACTCCAGCCTGGGTGACAAGAGTGAAGCTCTGGAAAAAAAAGGAAAGAAAGGGAGAGGGAGGGAGGGAGGGAGGAAAGAAATAGAGGAAGGGAGGAAGGAAGGAAGGAAGGAAGGAAGGAAGGAAGGAAGGAAGGAAGGAAGGAAGGAAGAAAGGAAGGAAGGAAGGAGGGAGGGAAGGAAAGAAGGAAGGAGGGAAGGAAGGAAGGAGGGAAGGAAGGAAGGAAGGAGGGAAAGAAGGAAAGTTAAGTTTAAGAAAAGACTTTAAGGAGGTAAGACCAATCACACTACCTTAACAAATTAGTTATCTCACCCAAAAGCAGCCACACATTCTTCTATGTCAGTAGGAGCAGCACAAGAATGGATTTAAGAATCCTTGTCCCTGTCTTCTCTTTGAAAGTTGACATTTTCTGGACATAGTTTCCTCATCTCTGAAAGAGGAGAGCTGGACTAGGTCAACAGTTATAGAACTATCACCAGCACACCCTAGGGTGGTGGGGTGCATCTGGGGTGTTGGAGAGAGATGATATGAGAGGCTAAGTAGACAAAGACTTGAGTCACTTCCCCAACTTCAACCTTTGATCTGTTTTATACAATGGGGCCGCAAGTCAGATTTTGTTTTTAAAAAAATTGTTTCCCTACAAACCAAAGGAAAAAAGTTTGAAAGCCATTAAGTAGTGATTGAAGAATTTTTCCTTTTAAATAATTGTCATGATCCAAAAGAAAAATCTTGACAATATTGTCTACTGCTGCCTGCATGTTCACTTCTCACAGCTTGCCATGACTTCACTACTTCTTTTGGTTTTATTTCATTGCTTTCCACACAGAGGTATTTACAGTGATGATCATGAGTTTCAAAACAAGTCTAATGAAACGTGCATTTTCTTAGGATTCTGAGTTCCCAGAACAAACAAGCATTGATTTTGGGAACCAAATTATACACCACCCGGTCGAGGAGGAGGCTGCCCAGGAGGGTAAAGCGTCCTGCGTCTCCTTGCCCTACCAGCACCATGCTACCCCAGCATCCCTACCTGCTCCACTAATGCATTCCCGATTAATTTTAATAAGGAAATATCTGATTATCCCCATTTAAAAGAGTCTTCCAACCTACACACACACACACACACACTCACACACACACACACACATGCTCACCCACAGGAGTTTTCTAATAAGCGATAGATCCTTGGTACAGGGTCCCCTTCAGTCAGATGTCAGACATAGCACAGCCACATAACTGATTATATTGCTCTCCCCATAAATATTCTACCACCAAGGAAGAGATTTATGATATTGTATCTTCAGTTCAATTTTCAGAACGATTTACAGCTCACATATATCCAAAAACTTATTACCAACTGCATTATTTGAAAACAAAGCGATAACCTGCTATCCTCCAAGAGGACCAAAGGAGGCTTCAGCGGCGCCTTCTATCTATCTCCACACTATCTCTGCCACTCCTATTACTATAATAAATATAACAAACATTTTAAGTGAAATTACAAAGCACACGGGCTACATGGTGGGTAGTAGTCTATTAAGTGAAAAGCCTTCAGAGGACCACATATTTGTCTTCAGACTGGGAACCTTGACAAGACTTTTCAAGAAACAGAGGGGCCTAAAGCAGAGATTGTGCCGAGAAACAATGAGCCCCTGGGAGCATATTCCTGCTGATAACAACCAGCTTTCGAAAATGCGACACCACATAGCACAGAGGCTGAGTTTACTCATTCTTAATGTGCTGCATCCACCTGACTTCATGGCTTAGGTTCCATCCCTAAGCAGACCCATGCAACCTTGCAGTGTGTTCCTATTAACCCCAGATGCACATCAGAAGCCCTGAGGGAACTTCAAAAGAATATACTGATTCCTAGCCCCATATTTAGTGATTCTGATTTAATCAGTCTCAGGTAGGGCCTGGACATCAGCATTTTTCCAAAGCAGAACTGCCCCCATCCCCAACCCATGATTCTACCACTAGAGCAGAGTTGAGAACCTCTGACACGATGGCTGTGAGCTTTCAACTCTGCAGCTGTGAAGTACAGCTAGCAGGCACGCACTTTGACAAGTTGTGTGAATGGATATACAGGTCCGGCTTGTTAACCTTAATGGCCCACACCAGTGCCTGGCACACTTTAATAACTCAAAAATATGGGTTGAATTAACTGGTGCATAAACACCAAGTTCTGGGAATGGTATTACATCTTAGTCATAAATAAATGGCAGCTAATATTGTTATTCAAAATGCCTTTTAAAACCTTTTAATTTATAGTTTTCTCCAACAAAAGTGTTTTATTTGACTCTTGTTTTTCCATCCTAAAGGCATTATTTACTTTCTGGACTAATCTTTTTAACATTATCACATACTATCACATGATAAGGAGAACTATGAAATTCAGTATAAGAAATGTACCAGCACCCAGCACTGGCACGCATCTTTCTACCCTGAAATGTTTTCCTATGTCCTGTTTCAGTGGTACATTGGAGAAGAAATGCACCTTATCTCCATTTGCCATTCCTCATGTATTGAGAACATACTTTTAACATACCATGACTAACTTCATACTTTCATGAACATTTATGTCCATAAATTCAACATTCTTGCAAAAACTGAGCAAATATCTGTTTGTAGAAGCAAAATCACAAGAAAAATGTCTGTGTGTCCATTTTCACTTTGGTTTCAACAGCATCAAAGTCCTTTGCCGTTCAAGCAGTAGGGAGACACTGGTCATATCTCTGCTGGAAATGAACCTCATGGTAACACAGTACAATCATTCTGGCCCATTTCATTGATTGGTGCCTGTAGCCACACAATCAATCCCCCTGGGGAAGTAGCTTTCATGATGTGCACTGGTAATGAAGGCAGGTGAAAGAGTTGGTGCCCCTGAGCTGCATTCCAGGGACCATCTTACATTATTGTTTTTGCGGATATATAATTGCAAGCTCAATTATACCAGAGAAGGGGAATTTTGAAGAAGTAGCCGGGGACCTTGCCCACACAATGAATGAACCCATTTCATTAAGATTCATCCCAAATTCCTCCTTCTTTCTCAGTCCAGATTCCTCTCCACTTCACTCAGGCAGCACTGTGATTCCCTTATATTAACCTTCCTTTCAAATCCAAGTACTTCATAGTCACGATTTAAAACTTTTGAGTTTCATTCAGATTTTGTCCCTTTGAAAGCCAGCTTCAGACTCCTCTTTAAAATTTGAATAACGTCTGCCCCCTCAGCCAATCAGGCTGGCCCCTGCCATATCCTTTTGAGGTGCCTGTCCCCCCAGGATTGCCTGTAATGCTTGCATCTTTGAAAAATATCTGTAATAAAAATTCAAATACATTCAAAAATGAACATAAATAAAACATAATTTCCTCCAAATGATTTATAAAATACTAAAACATTCACTTCCCTGTCTTCTGCCTGTCAAGAGCGCAGCGGCACGCATCCTTGGGGTGGCGGAGCTGCTTCCCTTTCCCCTTCAGAGGCCCTTCCTCGGCTCGAGCGAGGCGCTGCCTTGGCAACACAGAACACCCCAAAGCCTGCCAGCCTCCACAGCACCTCGCTCTCACTTTATCCATCAAAGCAGCGGCATGATCCTATCCATGGAGAGACGGGATAGCTCTATCGTTCCTCCTCAGGGGGCTCGAATTTTAGGGGAAGGGCTGAGATGGAAAAACCTGTCGGGACAGCAACAAGTGGGGTGCAGGGGAAAGACACAATCACCCCGTGGGGATTTTTCCTCTACCCCCAATCTGAGTGAAAGGCACTGTGGGAGAGTTTCACTCCTCTACCCACCTCAGCCTTCCCCACTCCCTGCCAGCCCCCAATTCCCTGCCTCTGTAACCATGGAGATGCCTGGAGTGGGTCCAAGGCCGGGAGTGGCACCCACAAAATCCCCTGAAGGGCATAAGAAAACACAGTTGCTGGGGCCCACTCCAGAGTTCCTAATTCAGTTGGTCGTGGTGGGCCTCAGAATCTGCATTTCTAACACATTCCCAGGTGATGCTGAGGCTGTGGGACTGGGAACCACACTTTAGGTACAACTCATCTAGGTTCTCAGGAACCAAGGCTCCCTTGATGGGACTCCAGTGGGAATGCCGTTGTGCTCAAAGACCTTTCTGCGGAATAGGATGTGATCATATACTATCCTGAGAGGATACTGATCATGTCATACTCCATAGAAAGACTCCAGAGCTATGTGATTTCCAGGGAATTCTCTACGTGCACACACTACACACACACACACACTTGCAGGAAGATGCAGGGCATGCTGGGAATAACTCAAATTAGGCACACAACTTATTGGCTTGAACAATTGACAGACTAGCGAAAGAATAAGTATAAAAATAAATAATTAGAGAACAATGTGAAAAGTGCTTTAGAGACAGTATCAAATGCTGTGAGAGTCCCTGGACTGAGACCAGAAGAGTTAGGAAAGATTTCAAAAAGGATGCAGCATTTGACCCAGGACTCAAAGGATGAACAGAAGTGGAAAGGATGAAGCAGGGAGTTCGGCAATCAAAGGACCAGATGTAAAACCAGCCAAGACAGCTGAAAGAGCCTGCTACTCACAGAAAACAAGGAACTTCATGTGTCTTCAAGGGAATGTTTGGAGATTCCTGTATATAAGGCCTTAAATACCAACCTGAGTTGAATCTTGAAATAGCTCAAAGATTTTCAGGTAAGATGTGTGTTTGCATGAGAGACCAGCTCATTATTCTTCTAAAACCAAATTTGGGCTCCAGTCCAGTTCACCGAAGCTGTCTGTGCCCTTCGAGGCCATCCTGGAGTTTGAGGAATGGTTGGCCACAGAAATCAAATAGGCTTAATACATTGGCTGGGAAATTGAGACATCAGAGACTATTCCACACCCTGCCATCTGAAGATACTGAAAGGGTAGGATCTGGCCGGGCACAATGGCTTACGCCTGTAATCCCAGCACTTTGGGAGGCTGAGGTAGGCGGATCACTTGAGGTCAGGGTTTCGAGACCAGCCTGGCCAACATGGTGAAACCCCGTCTCTACTAAAAATACAAAAAAATTAGCCAGCATGGTGGCGCACGCCTGTAGTCCCAGCTACTTGGGAGGCTGAGGCAGGAGGATCACTTGAACCCAGGAGGCAGAGTGTGCAGTGAGCCTAGATTTCACCACTACACTCCACCCTGAGTGACACAGTGAGATTCTGTCTCAAAAAATAAATAAATAAATAAAATCAAAGGGTCAGTTCTGTTCAAGACCCAAGAAGCTCACCTGGAGCTGACCCTGATGGGAGCCTTCAAAGCTTGGCCATGTGATCAGGAACCATGCAAGCCAGCCACCTGAGTGTCCTGCTGGTGATGATGAGGCCATGGAGACCGTGCTTGATGGGCAGCCACTGGACTGGACACACACGTGAGCCAAGTGCATAATAATGATAAAACGTAATAAGATCGCTACTGTACAGGTATAAATTTTGCAGTCACAAACTCAGATGTACAAAAATGGAACTTTAAAAAAATTGTGTCCCTAAAATCCTGGCCACCTTAGCTGTCAAAGTGCATTCCACCTGAAGCAGAAAACTTAGTCTAGTCAGTTTCAAGAAAACTTAATCCAAAGTTCTCACCCTCTGCTTTTAACTCTTTTTTTTTTCAGCCCACCAGAGATTCTTTCAGTCGCAGGACCTAAAGCAGCTGCCTGTTGGAATAGAGCGTCCTTTCTCCATCTCAATCTGCCCCAGTCACACGCTGTGTCCGCTACTAATATAACTAATATATACTAATATAACAGAGGTTCTCACTGTTCTGTCACTAACCACACTGTAGCTGCTGCTGAGCCATGCAGGCTCCGCCCTCCTCTCTGGGCGCCAGAACCATGCTGCTCACCTGGAGCCTTCTTGTCTGGATGGCAAGGCCTCCTGGGTCTCTGGCCACTCTCAGCCACTTCTTCACCCCTCCCAAGACTAGAGAAAACTTTCCTCACTCTTCCACACTACTTCAGGGGCCAGGAAACTTGATGATAATGGGCTGTAAACTCTTCTCTGCTCATGCAAACCACTCCACCATTTTTAATCTACTGGGAACTCCATTGGTGCAGGGGACCCTGGATCTAAGTGGCTTTCTGTTCTCTCAGACTTCACCTAGGAAGAAAATCACAAGCATCCCTGCCTTGGAACTTTCCTCTAGACTTACCTGGGCTTTCCATTGTCTAATCCCTGCCAAGGACTCATCCCAGGAGGTGTGGGATTCCTTCTCCAACACCCACCAGCTGTGGTGATAGCCCCTCCCTCTAATTCACCTCCTACTACCAACCAATTGAACTTTTCTGTCTTTCTAATCAGTAAAATTTGCCACTTAAAAAAAATAAACTTCAGGCCGGGCGCGGTGGCTCACGCCTGTAATCCCAGCACTTTGAGAGGCCTAGACAGGCGGATCATGAGGTCAGGAGATAGAGACCATCCTGGCTAACACGGTGAAACCCCACCTCTACTAAAAACACAACAAATTAGCCGGGCATGGTGGCGGGTGCCTGTAGTCCCAGCTACTCGGGAGGCTGAGGCAGGAGAACGGCATGAACCCAGGAGGCAGAGCTTGCAGTGAGCTGAGATCACACCACTGCAGTCCAGCCTGGGTGACAAAGCGAGACTCCGTCTCAAAAAAATAAATAAATAAATAAACTTCAGCTACTTCCAAATTATTTGGATCATATACCTTGATCATTCATTTGTTTATCAAATATGTATTGAGAATCTAGGTGTTAAGTATGTTCTAAGCACTTAGGAAGAAGCTCTACACTCATGAAGCTTACATGCTAGAGGGAAGAGATGAACTAGAAACAAAAAATATGATATTTATTATTACACAATTACAATTAGCATGTGTATGATAAGATTATAGAGCAGATGTATTGATTAAATTGTGTATTAGAAGATGGTATGTGCTGTGGGAAAAAAATCCCAATGCTAAAGGCTGAACTCAAACCAATAAATGAGATTCTATAGGTTGGGGGCCATGGCGTTGGTATTTTTTTAAAAGCTCCCCACTTTTAATGTGCAGCCAGACTTGAGAACCTCTGCCTTATGTCCATGAAAGCTATCACTATTGCTCTGTGGGAGTTCTTTTATTTATTCATTAATTCATTCAATAAACATTTAGTGAGCACCTACTATTTTCTGTCATTGCTCTAAACACTGGAGATAAATCAATGAAGGAAAGAAACAAAGTCCTTACTCTCATGCTGTTCACATACCAGAGGATTATTTTTTCCTTCAACATCTCATTTAATTCTCAAAACCTATGTATGCAGTGATCATTATTAGCCCTATTTCCCAGGTGAGGAAACTGAGCCTTGATCAAGTTCAGAAACTACTAAGTGACAGAGCCAGGACTCACACACAGGTCTGGAGGACTCAGGAGACCTCTCTCATAATAGCATTTCCCAGGGAAAGGCCTTTATTCATGCTTTTTTCATTTTATTTTCAGTGCTTCATGATGGGTCTGTTTCATGATGTAATTTAATGGATTAAATTTGAACAGCTGGAAATTGTGTAACTGATTACATTCAGCTTCCTTCACAAATTGCTAATTTGATTCACACCTGCTGATGTGACACCTGGAGGGAGTAGAAGTGGGTGGGTGGTTAGGCCTCTCCCACATATGTGCTAACTGATTGGGTAAAATAAAGGTTATTTTAAAATCTCAAATGGGCCATGACTTGTGATTAGGCAGACCACGTAGCTATCATTGGCTTACCTGTTGGAAACCTGGAAATTATTTTAATCAAAGCTAGTGAATTCTGAAATCAATTTTTATTAAATCCCTCTATATATGAGATCATATATTTATAGGACATTCTAACTTTTGATCAGCACTTCATATTCAGTACAACTGTGAGTTATTTTAAAGACACATTCTGTTATGAGCTCAACTGTGTCAGCCTTCTCTCCATAATTCACATGTTGAAGCTCTAACTTCCAGTACCTCAGAATGTGACTGTATTTGGAGATAAGGCCCTTCACTTAAAAGCCTCTAAGGCCCCAAATCTATCTCCAAATACAGTCACATTCTGATTCAGTTAAAATGATTAAGTCGCATTGTGATTAAGTTAAGGTGAGGCCATTAGGCTGGGTCCTAATCCAATCTGGCTGCTGACCTTATAAGAAGAGGAAATTTAGAAACACAGAGACACCAGTAATGTGTGTGCACAAAGACCATGTGAGGACACAGTGAGAAGGTGGCCATCTGCAAGCCAAGGAGAGAGGCATCAGGAGAAACCAGACCTGCTGACACCTTGGTCTTGAACTTCTGGCCACCAGAACTGTGAGAAAATAAATTTCTGTAGTTTAAGCCACCCAGTCTGTGGTATTTTGTTATGGCAGCCCCAGAAACTAACACACATGCATAATACATTTAATTCAACAAAAAATTACCACTCTATACCTGACATAAAACTGTCCTGTTGAGAGATCTCATGGCCCTGTATTCAAGGAATTTGCAGTCTTTTAGCGAGACATACACACGGATGAGACATTTAGAGAATAATAAGAGGTCCAAGGCCCAAATGAGCAGGAGAGGAAGTAAGTGCTACTCCAAAAGGGTCAAAGCCAAGATAGACTGGCATGGGTCACAAAAAGAATAGAGTTTGAAAAGCAGGGAAGTGTCAGGTAGGGAGGGGAGGTGGAATGAACAATAGTATGCATTTGATCCTGCAATCCCACTACTGAGTATCTACCCAAAGGAAAAATCAATATGTCAAAGGGATACCAGCACTTACATGTTTATCACAACACTATTCACAATATCTAGAATAGAGAATCAACTTAAGTGTCCATCAGTAGATGAATGGACAAAGAAAATATGGTATATATACACAATGGAATACGATTCGGCCATAAAAAAAAGAAATCATGTCATTTGTAGCAACAATGATGGAACTTGAGGTCATTATCTTAAGCAAAATAATCCAGGCACAAAAGACAAATATCACATATTTTACTTACATGTTGAAGGCAAAAGGTTGATCTCATGGAGGTAGAGAGTGGTAATACAGATAACAGAGACTGGGAAGGGCCAGCAGAGGGGCAGGGGAAAGGAGAGCACAGGAGAAGTGAAGTCGGTTAAAGGATATGAATATATAGTAACATAAAAGGAATCAATTCAATATTTGATGGCAGAGTAGGATGACTATACTTCACAAAATTATATTGCACTACAGTGAGGAACACCCTGAACACTCTGATGTGATCTCTATGCATTATATGCATGTAACACATTTTCTCATATACTCCATAAATTCTCACAAATAAAAAAAGAAAGAAAAGGGTGAGCTGAAAATAAAAAATAAAATATAGTTGAAGAGTATGTGTTTCGGAGCAGTCACTGCCACTTACTGGCTATGTGACCCTCAGCAATTGTCCTCACCCGGAATGTCAGGTGCACACTTGGTGGGGTGTGGTGAAGCTTCACCATGACAGTGCCACAGGAGCAATTCACTAGCATGCATTAAGCACTCCATAAATGTACTAGAATTATGGGACAACAGTGAGGAGAAACTCAGAAATCAAAGAAAGCCTGGGAAATAATGAAGGATAAGGGATGTCCTTGGTTGAAGATTTGAGACTAACCTAAATCCTCATGGTAAAAAGGATTTTTTTCTAAAAAGAATATTTTGCTTCCAAATTGACAATACATCAATATAATAATATTAAGCTGACATTTGCAGAGCACTCTGTGCCCAGGCACTGTTTTAAACACTTTGTGTGTATTAACTGTTATATACTCATTGCAGCACTAGTCACAATATCTAAGATATGGAATCAACCTAAGTGTCCATCAACAGATAAATCGTCAAAGGAGGTAGGTAGGTCTGATCATAATTATTCTCACTTTATAGATGAAGAAACTGAGCTGGAAAAAGTTGAAGTGACTGGCCAGAATTGCACAGTTAGTAATATTCAAGCACGGGCGATCCTGCCCCAGAGCCACCACTCCATCCACACATTCATACCCATATTCTCCTCACATCACATGCGACGTTCTGTACTGCCAAGCCCTTAGAACCCTCTTGATTTAGTAAGAAGGAAACTGAGGCACAGAGAGGGGTCTTGACTAAGTTACCCAAAATTGCATAGCAGGCAAGTGGCAAAGCCAGAACTTGGAATCCTGCTTGCAGCCCCATGCCCTTCTCTGCTCTTCCCTGACTCTCTTTTCAGAATATGTAAAACTGGGAACTTTCAGAAACTGTCTTATCTGGGGAGAATACATATTCTAAGAACTTCCCAAAGAATTCTGTTGCCTTTCACCAAACTCTGGGTACTTCCTACTTCTCCATGTGACTCGGTGAGCATTAGAACAAAAAAAAGAAAGAAAGAAAGAAAGAAGTTTTCAAAATATAAATTCTGCAATTACAGGAATTACAGGGAGAAAAAGAAATTTTAAATACAGTTTTTCTTATGTAT